>NC_000018.10:52732575-53033241 GCF_000001405.40 Homo sapiens
AAGTGGAGTAGTTGGTCCATAAAGCTAAAAATAGTTAAATGGCCCTTTGCAGAAGAAAGTTTGCAGACCTCTGATATAGAGAAATAAATCTGTCAGAAATGGAGATTGAAGTCCAATACATTTCAAATTCATACTTATTCTTTGGGCAAATTATAATTTGTCACATCCTCAGGCTCAGTTTTCTCCTCTCTAAAAATCAACATAACAATAATCAGGTAGTTGGAAATTAAATCATGTAATAGGTTAAAGTATTGGTTCATTTGTTCTTCCCTCTTCTGAAAGAAAAAGTTCAAAAATGTAATCAGTGTTTATCTAGTAGTTACGTTCATGCTGTCCTGATGTGTTCATTTGAAGATTCATTAGATGTAAATTTTTGAGAGTATTTTGTATGAGTTAATAATTAATGTAACCAAAAATGCTAAGTCAATCTTCTGTAAATGTCCCCTGTTTGTAGCTACAGCCATGCTTAACTGTAGGTTGCTGATGTCAGCATTGGCTGGGAAGGTTGTCTGAACACATTTATCCATGTCAAAGCATCAAACTCACCACTATTAAGCAAAATGGCATAGAGTTGTGAGTTAGTTACTGAATGTGATGGAGAAGGGTTCTCTCCTGTGATCCTAACTCCCATGCCTCATTCTGCCATTATTCTTCATGGTCAAGACCAGTGGAGTTAGCAGTGTCTAAGTGTCTGCAGTCCTTTCTAACATGATTCACGTATCATTTTTCATAGTCACGTTGCAAATTGACAAGGAAGTCAATACTTTGGTGATATTTCTTGGTTCACAGTTTCCTTCAGTTAGACCCATCACATTTTTGATCATTTGGTCTCAGTTCGTTTTCAGCTGCATGTTAGTGTAACTAGTCTGCAGCCATCCCTTTCAAGTTAGTGTCAGGAGGTACACCAATAAACACCGCCTTTTTTTGTTTTTTGTTTGAGACAGGGTCTCACTCTGTTGCCCGAGCTGGAGTGCAGTGGCATGATCATAACACATTGCAGCCTCAGACTCCTGGAATCCAGTGATCCTCTCACCTCAGCCTCCCAAGTAGTTAGGACTAGAGCTGTGTACCACCACAACTGGCTATTTTTTAAATGTTTTTGTAAAGACATGTTCTCGCTATGTTACCTAGGGTGGTCTCAAACTCCTAGCCTCAAGCAGTCCTCCTGCCTCAGCCTCCCAAAGTGCTGGGATTACAGGTAAGAGCCACTGAATCTGGCAGACATTGGCATTTTATCCACACCGAAAGAAGTTTCCATTAATGGGTAAACAACATTAAGATGAGAATGAGGCATGATTCTCTGTAATTCAAATTTAACTGAAAATCCAGAAGCATAAGAGTATATTATACATTTCAGAAATAGAAATGTATATTCTATATTTCAATATAATTAATTCTGTTTCTAGTGCTTGACAATATTTATCACTACCAGATAAAAATAAATATATTTCAAACTAAAGTGTAATTATGAACATCTGTATCATCTTTAAAAGAGTAATAAGTAGGTGACCATATATCTTAGGTTGCCTAGAACAATTCCAGTTTATACACTTTAAAAATATATATTATTTTTATTTTTTAAACTTCCATGGGTACATAGTAGGTGTATATATGTATGGGGTACATGAGATGTTTTGCAGTTTATACCTGTTGTCCTGGCTTAATTATAAATCAAGTCTCCTTTCAGTATCAGAAGTGTCTGAAATATATAGTAAATTATATGATGATCCTAGCGATCACTCTAGTGATTAGCTTGAAATTAGTCAAAAGCAAAATGCACAATGTCATAATTAGCCTGTCCCCGTATCATACACGTTTTTTTGTTAAATTATACTTTATTTGACATTGTTGGCAAAAAATGATTGGCATGCTGATGTTCAACAGCAATCTCATCTAAAAGCTACTTTTAAAACCTTGGCTGACTATGTTACTGACTCTATATATAGGAGATGTTATCTTGTATCCAGGTGGGTATCCATGAATGCCTTTAATCTGCAGAGTCTGAGTTTCTCTGGCCCTGCATCCCCATAAGTAAGGTTTGAGGCCTGCAGCTAGCAATCCAAGCTTTAGACCCAGTGGAAAGTAATTACTCAAGGAAGTAAAAAATGTTCACTCCTTTTCCTTTATCCTCTTTAGTTCATTAAGTATGTTAAAGATGGAAAGATATTCTCCTTCTCTGAGACTAACAATGTTCAATACTTAAAAAAAGTTACCATTATCTATTATGTATTCAGCACTGCTAAACCCAAACAGGCAAAGGGATTTAAGCAGAATTGTAGGCATAGTTCTTAACTTTGAGAGTAGTAAATAAGATATAAATATATGTGGTAGATCAATAAATATTTTCTGGGTGACATAAATGTTTGAAAGCCCTGATACTTGTAAATTCTTATAAGAAAATGCCTTGTTTCTTCATAGATTCCATTATATGTAATAAATCCAGGCTTTTGATAATTCAGATATAGCCCTGAGGAGAAAATAAAGGTTTTCTAATTTTGTATTACTCTTTTAAAGATGATACAGATGTTCTAATTTTGTATCCTTCTCCACCATCAGCTCCCTCCATGTCAGACACTCAGGGTCTTCTGATTTGTTGCTGGAAGAACAGAGAAACTGTCTTCATGGAGACCTTCCCCAGGAATTCCCTTGACCACCCTGCCAACACTCTGTGTTAACCCTAGGCTCATCCCTCCAGGGCTCACTGGTTGCCAACATCAGTAGTATGATAAGCCATTTTACACCAAGTTATTTGGGATATCATAGAATCACTTACTTTGTCCCTCTTCCCAGATTATATATTTACATGATGTATTAGGGTTCTCTAAAGAGACAGAACTAACGGGATAGATGAATATATGAAGGGGAATTTACAAGGAGAATTGACTCACATGACCACGAGGTGAAGTCGCACAATAGGCCATCTGCAGTCTGAGAAGCCAGGAAGCCAGTCTGAGTCCCAAAACCTCCAAAAGTAGGGAAGCTGAGAGTGCAGCCTTCAGTCTATGGCTGAAGGTTCAAGAGGCTGTGGCAAATCACTGGTATAAGTCCAAAAGTCCAAAAGCTGATGAACTTGGGGTCTGATGTTCAGGGGCAGGAAGCATCCAGCATGGGAGAAGGATGGAGGCTGGAAGACTCCATCTTTTTATGCTGGCAGCTGATTAGATGGTGCCCAGCCAGATTGAGGGTGGGTCTGCCTCTCTCAGTCTACTGACTCAAATGTTAATCTCCTTGGGCAACAACCTTACAGATGAACCAGGAACAATACTTTGCATACTTCAATTCAATCAAGTTGACACTCAGTATTAACAATCACACATGACAAAGAGGTTTCAATACCAAACACTCCATGAGGATTTTCCAGAATCACAGTAGCTAAGAGGCAGTCTATATCAAATATTTCAATTAATATTGTGTGATTCTGTTTATTCCATCTCTGAGCTGGTTTGGCCCTACTTCTTTGCTTAAACAGTGTGAGAAAAAGAAATAACATATATAAGCAGAAAGGTGATCTAGAATTAATCCTACACAGGAATTCAGACATTGACATTTTGTTACTAGGTCCTCTTCTGAGCTGTGTCACCTTGGTCAGGACAGTTAACCTCTCTGGGTCTTTGTCCCTACCTGCAAAATAAAGTTAACAACCTTTCCCTGACCAATAGGATCAAAAGAGGCTGTTATCAATCACTCTTAATTTACTGTAAACATAAAAAAAAAAAAAAACAGAAAAATCACCCAGTGTTTGTAAGCTACAACACAAACCCTCAGCAAATCTTTGGGTAACCCTGGCCCATGATTTAAGATGGTCAGTAATTCCTATCCCTACCACTAGACCATCTTTGTGCAAGAGAATGGATCTTGCTGTATATAAGTGACTTTGATAATTATCAGGTTTTTTTATGTCTACATTATTCATTCCTCTGGCTGTGCAAGAGCGAGGGCACATTTTTCATACTGTTTTTTGAACTGCAGAGAAAAAAAGTTGAAAGGGAAAGGAAGAACATTTCACTTACTTGATTACATTAAAAGACAGTAATAGGGTTGGCTAATATTATTTAAAATGTACAGTAATTATAGTTTTTAAAATTACAATCCTAGTACATATTATACAAATAAAAATGTTATATAGCAAACAGTGACTTTTTTTATGTTCTCATGATAACTAATTAGTCCCCAGCTCCTATGACATTGACGTAATATGAGGTTAAAAGAGCTACAGGTATTAGGAGAGAACCCACAAGTGGGGCAGAACAAGAGTGGAAGCAGGTGGATATCTGGGGTCACATGTTGATGAAAAGTCTCCAGCTGATGAATTATGGGGGAACCCACATTTGAGATAGAGACTGGTATATTATACTCAATAAACTCAGCACACTTTCTGACCTTACTTTGGCTTTCTGTCTCAAAATTGTATATAAATTTAGTTCTGAGTATTTCATGACAACACTTGAACCCCTCAATGGATTTATAGTCTCTATCATTCAAGGGGACTTGCTGTTTATTATTTAGATAAATTTTAGGCTTTTACTATTCCTAAATGGTGCTCAGGAGACCATGTCTTTGCTTTGAGTCTTACTGATTTTTTTTATATTAGAGACGACGTGAAAGGAATTTGTTAAAGATCAAATAAGATAAATTAATGAAAAACAGCTGGATAGAAGCACAACCAGGAATGGTAAATAGTGGTTAAACAACTCCAAGACCCCACAAGACACCACTGGTGATACTTTGACAGTTCCCTAGCTCTGCAGGACTTCCAGTTACCCAGACATCTTTTTAAAGCCAATGAAAAAAACTCTACTGTGCAACAGCAGAGTGGGCTAGACTGCACTGCCTTTATTTCAAGAAGAAAACCAAAGAAATCTTCATCTTAAATATGTTTTTCATGGAAGATTAAAACACACTTAGTAAGACCATTTTCTCATCCTGTGGGAGCTTTTTAGGACAGGATGATATGAAAATGGCATGTGTTTTATGTTTCATAGGTAATTGGAATACATTTGGTGAAGCCCCTGGAATAGGTACAGCGGGGAGTAGTAGCCTTGGACACAGTGGGCATATCCAGAGGTGGTGAAGACAGGGACAAGGAGGGAGGAATGAAATAAAGGATCTGTGGCTCTGGACTAGAGGACTGTTGGAGAGAATGAGGAAGCCAGAGAGCTAATAGACATTTAGTAGGTGTTTGATAATAAGTGTGAATGAATGAATACGATGAAGAACTTCACCTGGATGTACAGCCAACAGACCAATCTTTTAAAGCTTATAAATGCTAAATCTATTACCAAAAGAATGGAGTGTTGAGGAGAGCTTAACATAAGATGGCAGCTCGGAGCTTTGATGCCCCTCGCTGTCAATCAGCAGTATCACCTCAGAACAGGGTCATCAGACTACAGCCCAAAGGAGGGCCAACTTTGGCCCTCTGCCTGTTTTTGTAATAACGGTTTATCATTTTTACATTGTTATCTTTTACATGGCAACATAAGTATCGATATACCATCCTCGGTTTTGCCTCTTGGTCCACAGAGCGCAAAAAAATTTATTATCTGGCCCTTGATGGAAAGTTTGCCTTACCACTGTCTCAGAATATGACAGAAAATGTTATCAGTATAGATACTGATAAGCATGGTTTTTATTGACAGTAACACAGGCACATCTTGCTTAATGATGGGAATCGTTCTGAGAAATGTATAGTTAGGTGATTTTGTCATTGTGCAAACATCATAGAGTGTCCTCACACAAACTTTACATGGTAGAGCTGACTACACACCTAAGCTGCATGGTGTAGCCTATTGCTCATAAACTACAAACCTGTACAGCATGTTATTGTACTAAATACTATAGGCAGTTACTGTAGGTAACATGATGGTATTTGTGTATCAAAACATAGAAAAGCCACGTAAATATTTTGTACAAGAGATTAAAAATGATGGACTTATATAAGGCACTTACCATGAATGGAGCTTGCAGGATGAGAAGTGAGTCAATGAGTGAGTGGTAATCGAATACAAAGACTTAGGAAGTTACCGTACTTACTATAGACTTCATAAACACTGTACGCCTAGGCTACACCAAATTTATTTTAAAAATTATTTTCTTCCATAACAAATTCACCTTAGCTTACTGTAACTTTTTTTTACTTTATAAACCTTTAATTTTCTTTCTTTCTTTCTTTGTTTTTTTTTTTTGAGACTAAGTCTCACCCTGTCACCCAGGCTGGAGTGCAGTGGCACAAACATGGCTCAATGCAGCCTCAACCTCCTGGGCTCAAGCAGTCTTCCTGTCTTAACCTGCTAGGACTACAGGTGCACACTACCACATCTGGCTATTTAAAAAAAAAAAAAAAAAAGAATGTTTTTGTAGAGATGGAGTCTTGCCATGTTGCTCAGGCTTGTCTTAAACTCCTGATCTCAAATGATCCTCTCACCTCGGCCTCCCTAATTGTATGTGCTAGACTTTTATACTACTGGCAGCACAGTAGATTTGTTTATAGTAGCATCACCACAGACACGTGAGTAATATGTTGCGCTACTACATTACAATGGCTGTGATGTCACTAGGCAATAGGAATTTTTCAGCTCCACTACAAGCTTATAAGACCACTGTCATACATGCAGTCCGTCATTAACCAAAACATTATTATGCAGCTCATGACTGTACTGAGTAGTCTCAGTCATTCACCACCAACCTAGCAGAATTAGGTCCATTTTTTTTAAACATATGTTATGATTTTTCTTTCACTGATTGAAGAAATTTTTCCAAATTATTCGTTTTTGTCTATCTATGTTTGGTTATTCAACAGGTATTTGTTAAATACCTCTGAAATAGGCAAGGGTTCCCAGGGGTTGTATGAAATAAACAATATGATTCATGTTTGCTCCCTTGGAGTTTGCAACATAATAAGGTAGAAATTCTCAAAAATATGATCTGCAACAGGAAGATCAGAGCCACAAGAGAGGTACAATAAAGGGCTATCACTTCTGAGAGCTGAGTCTGTCACTGCTATTCAGTGAAGACTTTCTGTCTCTGCACAGGCCTGTGTCTACCGTTTACATTTTGTAAAAGAGGAACCTGATGAGAATTTATGTTTACTCTTTGGCTTAAAATGTATCACTAGCTCTAAGGTACTACCGGAAATCACACCATGTCAGAGGCCATGTGAATGCCGTCGGCACTGGCCCCTGCCTGCTAGTATGGTGGGTCCAAGGTACTAACCAAGAGCTTTCTTTTGCAATTGAGAATACCTTCTTTTTTCATATACATTATAAAAACTGCTCTATTAATCTACTTGGAATCATCTGGGGCTCTTTCTTTTTTGAACAACCCACATAGAGTCCCTCAAAAACCCTATTGATGCTATCTTTAAAATGGGTCCTGAATATGGATTCTAGGAAAGGCTCTAATTAGAATATTTTTAGAATTTGGAACAACCAACGCCTGCATGCAGTAAGCCCTTTTAAGTAGAGGCATGCATATTTCTTCATCTTTCAGTTTCCTTCAGGTGAAGACACATGAATAGGTCCTTCATCCTTGAGGTTCACATTAGACCATGAATAAGTTGCACATATAGACGCCAGAAATTCCCTTACAGTTCTGACCTTCTAGAGAGGCTTCATTCTTGCTCCCCAAGTCTTCCCCCATGGAACTTAAGTCACCATCTATAAAACAAGTTATTTGAGAAGTCCTTTAATAAATGCTGACCTCGTGAGCAGTTTAAAACTCATTGGTGCTTAGTTCCAAAGCTGATGTTTCTGTTATCACTGTGGGTTTTCCTTCTTGATACCATTCATGGACTAAGCAGAAAAATATCACCTTTCTATTGAGACAAGACACAGTAAATATCATGACAAAATGAATGACAGCATTTTAATGAAAATCGCTATTTGGCCTCTATCTTTAGAAAATTGGACTTGTTATAATACAAATGTTTTATCACTGATGAGTCCCCACATCAGACGTTATGCCACAATGTCAACCATGAGGTTTGCTGAATTTTTAAGGTTTTCCCTGGACCTGTCAGACCTTTGTGGAATTAATCCTTCGTATTTGTAATAGGAGTTTCCACAAGATGAATACTTCATTTCTCATGAATCATAATAAAGCAGCCCACGCTTTGTCAGCAAAGTGACCTCTGCAGTCTTTTATCTTCAAGAGAAAAGATTAGACTCTCTATTTTATGGATAATGAGGTAGGTTCTTGGTCTCTTGGCACCTTCAGTAACTGTACTCTTTGTGGTCTTGTTTCAGTCTGTGATAAACTGATCAGAGGGTGATTATAGCAAATCTCTTAGTATGACAAATTTCCTCCTAAATTTGAGGGTAATTTTTTTCTGTAAGTAGCAAAGTTAATAGGTGTGAACTCATAGACTTTTATAATATTAGAGCTGAAGATGCCTCCTTGTTTTATTAATGAGTGAATTGATTCCCAGTGGTGTAGCCCACACTTAGAAGGCTAACGAGGGGCAGATCAGACAAAGAACTCAGGTCTCCTGACCCTTGTGCTGGGAGCTTTCTTTTGCAATTGAAAGTGCCTTCTTTTTTCATATAAACTACATAAATTGCTCTGTTAATCTCCTTGGAGTCTTCTGGGGCTCTTTTCTTTTTTGAGCTACGCTCATCTCATCCCTCAAAACCCTATTGACTCTATCTTTAAAAATGGGTCCTGAATATGATCATTTCTCATGACCTCTACTGCAATACCTTAGGCCAAATCTCATCATTTCTCACCTGAACAATGGAAATAGCCTCCAATCTAGTTTCTCTGCTTCTTCCAATGACCTCTGTTCTCAAGACAGCAACCAGAGTGATCCTTTAAAACAGGGGTTCTCATCCTCATCACTACTGATGTTTTGGGATGGGTAATTTTTTCTTGTGAGGGTCTGACCTGTGCATTGTAGGATGTGCTACGTCCCTCTACATGGTGGATGCCAGTAGCACCCCTCTCAGTTGTGACAACCAGAAATGCCTCCAGACATCGCCAGAAATTTCCTAGGGGATGAAATTGTTCCTCCATTGACAACTACTACTTTAAAACATAAATTGGACCTTTTTGCTCTCCTTATTGAAACTCTTCTGTAAATTTGACAGAGTTAAAGCAAAATTCTTTCACTTGCCTATGAGGTCCCATTGAATCTCACTGTGAGCCCTCAGACCTTGCTTGCTGGAACTCTCTCATTCACTCCAACCCAGCTATTCCTGGGGTGGGCTCGTCACACCTGCCTGGGTGCCTTAGCATCCTCTGCCTGCGGTGTTCTTCCCCTATATATCTGCTCCACGTCTGTGATGAACTGAGGGTTTGCATCCCCCAGAATTCATGTATCAAAATCCTAACCTCCAATGTTATAGTATTAAGAGGTGGGACTTTGGGGAGATAATTAGGGTTAGACAAGATCATAAAGGTAAGTCCCCCATGATAGGATTACCTTTCCTATAAGAAGAAGAAGAGACATCTGAGCTCTCTGTCTCCCCATGAACAAAGAAGAGGTCATGTGAGCACACAGTGAGATAGTGGGCACTTACTGGCCAAGAAAAGAGGCCTGAGAATGGGACCTGCCTTGCTAACACCTTGATCCTGGACTTCCCAGCTTCTAAGTCTGTGGGAAACAAATCTTTTTAAGCCACCCAATCTATGGTATTTTGTTATGGCAGCTGAAGCAGACTATGACAATATCCTTCTTCACAATATTCAGGTCTTTGCTCAAGTCTTGCCCTCCTCAATGAAACCTTCTCCAAATCCCACAACTCCTTCCTTTCCCTCTTGATTTTCTTCTATAGCACTTAGTCTCTTCTGACATTGTACATATTTTCTCAGTTAGTTCTTTATTGTCTGTTCCTTCCTACTAGAATATAAAACCTAGAAGGATAGGGATTATTAGGCTGTTTATTATTGGATTCTTCAAGGCTGTTTGTTCCCAGCCTTGAATAATGCCTGATGCAGTAGGTGCTCAATAAATATTAGGTGGATGAAGGAATGGCATGAAGATGTTTAAATATCTTTTACACCACTGCTAAGCATTACAGTAAAAACAAAATAATATTACAAAGTTTATGGTTTCAATTGCATTTTGTCAATGCAATATTTTTCCTTTGGCCTTTAAAGCAAAATTTCAAACTTACTAGGCTTACTGACAAAGTGCTACCATAAATGTGCCACTAAAAAGCAAGCAATTTTCCAAGTAGAAGTGAGAACTATGACATGTAGTATGAATGAGTTCCCCTTTGAGAAAACCTAACCGAAAACAATCCAATTAAGAATGGGCGTAGAAGGATCCTGAAAATAACAAGTATCAAATTTGAATATAAAATATGATCACAACCATGTGGATAATAAAGCAAATCATTATAAATGAAGAAATAATTAATTTCCTGGAAGGAAATGCACAGAAACTTTAACAGTTTCTGTTAAAATGATCATTATTGGATAAGCAAGGTTATGGACAATTATTATGATATATGATTTTATGTCCATATTTTTGTATTGTGTACACTAAATATGGGTAACTTGATAAGAGATTTCTAAAAGTTGATTGGTCACTTCACAATAAATGGCATCTCCAAAGCTTGTCTACTTGGCTGCCATCAAAATGGAGAAAATCTCATGCACTGGGTACTCCTTAAATCACACTTTTTCTAAATACTCACAAGAGCACTTCTTAGTGTTTTAGTTGACAGTTCTGCATTTATAAAATGCCATCCCTCTCTCTACTTAGAGAAAGACTGATGAAAAACACGGAAGCTAAAGCTAGCTTATATTTCATCAAACTGAGAGGGAAGAAGGCTCAAACCCAGGGCAGATTAAGCAACACATCAAAGTTTCTCTTTTTAGTGTTAATTTTGTATGAGACCTGGGGCATGATAACCTACATGTCCGGAAATGTTACTTGTTGGGCTGGAAAAAAAATTTCATTACAATTTTCCTGGTATCACACAGCAAAATCAAACTGCAGCTTAGAGAGTTAGCTCTTGGGGCAACAAAGGAATGAGGAAGTTACTCTCCCGCTCCAACTTAGCCCTTATTATTGTTCTTTACCATTGGATTTAGCCAGAGGACACTCAGGCAGTTGCCTGGGGCACACACTTCTTGCCCTTTAAAAACCTCAGATCTCTGCAAAGCTTCTTCAGCTTTGTGGAAGATGCCATGTGCTCGGAATGTCGGATGTGGAGCCTCTGTGTGGGCTCACTAAGAGATTTCAGCTGGGACAGTTGCTTTGTGAACTCCACATCTTACCTTTATATTTCCAAATTTAGTTCCCTGTAAAGGGAAGAGAAAAAGAAGAATCAGGGTATCAAGAGCAAATCGGTTCAGCACCCTTTTGCTGAGAATATTTGGTGGTGTTGCACTTGGTCAGCAAATGTCCTGACACTAAAATCACTTCCTGATTCAGTCATGCTAGCTTTCCAAGAATTTACTCTTCTCTAGATATGTGACAACTGAGGAGCACAGTAGGAATTTATTTGCTAGTTGCTTACTTTAGCTATGGTCTTAAGAAGGAATTTCATGGAGGATAGGTTTCTCAGATAAAATACAGGATGCTCTGTTATATTTGATTTTGAGTAAATAACAAATAATATTTTAGTATAAGTAGGTCTTATGCAATATTTATTTAGTATAAGTATTTAGGACATGTTTATACTAAAATTTATACTAAATTTGTTTTTCATATGAAATTCTAATATAACTTGTGTCCTTAATTTTTGTTCACTAAATCTGGCAACTCTAATGAGGGAGAAACTTTGACTGTTCCTTTTAAATTTTCACTTAAATTTTCATCCATAGCTTCCCTATATTTTAATGATCCTTAATAAATTCCCATAGTAAAATGTATATGTTTTCTTTCCTGATCAGCCTTTTTTTACATTATTTAAGTTCAGGAATTAATTCCACATAACTTAATTCATTTCTGATTTGCATTTTTTAGTAATAAAAATTTGTCTTAAATGGCTTTAAAGTGTTAGTCTCTGGCAACTGTGGAATGAATGTACTCTTTTAAAAATATGACCATGTATTCTGACAATATTTTTTAATGTCTTATCAAAGTGAATAAAATGGCACCAGTGCTTCACAGAAACCCCAATAGTCATAGGTGCTGGTCCTTTGGTGAGTGCACACTTTCTCTCTCTGGTCTAGCGGAAATTAAAGTCTTCCATTAATGGGAAATACACAAAGCACACCCTCAGGCTACAGCACAGTTAAATGGCTATTGTGGTTTTCCCATCTAGAGACTAAACTAGACTAAGGGGCAGATCAGCCTGGTAAGTGTCTACAATTATATTGTGGAACTAAAATGGAATAAAAGAAAGGCAATGTGATAAAGAATACTGGATGAACCCAAACTTCTTTTGGAAGAGGCTTGTAGTTATTGTCACTGTTTAGAAGAAATCCTCTCATAGCCCCTTATGTGAAGAATCAAGAATATTCCAAGGAATATTCTAAATGTCCAAATGACCATGGAAGTTTAATTTTGCTTAATGGGGTAAGGCCATTTGGGGCCCAAACAGTGTGCTGGTTGTAACAGAGGAAAGATTAGGTATTGTAAACAATAGTCCTCTTTCTTGATCCTTTCTCCACTTCAGCCTTTCAAAGAGAAATATATAATAAATATTAATAAAACGTGTTGAAATAAGTGTTCAATTATTTGCCTTTCTAGATTATCCTTCTAAGTTCACCTACTTACTTAGAAAAATAATCAACCCAAATTACACAAATTCCTCAAATATGAAAAGTCATGGCAAGATAGTAGAAGGGACACAAGAACCCCCTTGCTCCAATCCAGGCCACCAGATGTTTTGGAGCAAAGTTCTAGAGTTTTAGTTAACGTGAGAATTACCTGGAAGACTTCTTAAAGTACAGATTGCTGGGCTCTACTGCCACAGTTTCTGATTGGGTAGGTATGGGGCAGGGCCTAGAATTGTGCATTTTAATATGTATTTTTATTTTTAATTGGCACACAATAGTTGTACACATTTATAGGATACAGGCTGATATTTTGTTACATGTATACAATGTTTGGTGATCAAATCAGACTAGTTAGCACATCTATCACCTCAAAGAGTTATCATTTGTTTGGGTTGGGAACATTCAAAATCATTTCTTCCAGCTATTTGAAAATATTCACCAAATTATTGTTAACTTTAGTCACAGTACAGTGCTATAGAGCATTAGAACTTACTCCTCCTGTCTAAGGGGTGTAATTTTGTATTCCTTAAGCAACCTCTGTCTATCCCCTCCCTACCCTTCCCAGCCTCTTGTAACCATTGTTCTACTTAACATTGTGCGTTTTCAGCAGGTTCCCAGGAGGTGTTGCTGTTGCTAGTCTAGGGACTGTACTTTGAGAACCACTGTTTCAGAATTTGTATTCTGATATACTAAACCAAGTGAAGTTAACATATGCTTAGGGATTCTGTTAATTCATGTTTGTTTGTTTTTGTTTTTTAAATTCCTGCTCCATTGCATGGCCTCATAAGTATTATAATTTTTTTCCAGGGCTAAAGACCAGAGTTAAAGTTGTACATGTAATTGATATTTGATAAATTGAAAGTAGATTATATTGCATCATCCATAGAATTATTTTTATTTCCTTCAATGGAGGTCTCTTTATTTGTCTTAAGCCAAAAGAAGCAAATGTGGTAGCATCTATTTCTAAGAAAAGATGATAGTGGCATGGTTTTCTGGGTTGATATGAAGATTCACGGATCATCAGAAACTCTAAGCACCCCAAAATGAAAGTTTGTGTAATTTTAAGTGATACAATTATGCATAGCAAGTTCTATGGGGATTTGTATGACATTTTCTAATCTCAAAATCTTGTAGGAGCTTTTTTCCCCACTTCCAAGCTACTTCTTATAAATTTCATTTTGAGCTTCTATTGCCTTAACCAGAAGCTTTTACATTTTGGACCTGGAAAGAGATTTCTGACTCCACAGAGAATTATTTTTTACACTTAACAATGTTTGATATTGTAGATAAAATGTCATACCTTAAAAACCTCATTTTAAGTTAGTTTGCCTCTGCGACTGAATGGTCTTTGGAACTGAGAAGAATATGATAAAGAGAGCAAGCACAAAGGGACCAAGCTTAGAGAAATATTTGTACTATTTGATCATTTTGGTGAGTTTCTAAAATATATTAAGAATATTCTCTATGTATAGATAATTAATATAAACTTGAAATGTCTTTGGCAATATTATTTCTGATGCTTATTTATGTCTGAGAAAACTAAAACATAGATAATAAAAGTTCTCCCTTAGGTCATTCCTCAAGGGTAGGCCTTCTTTTATATCCTCATCAGGAAGCATGGAAGGTTTTGCTATCTTGGTATCTGCTTACAAACTATCATTTTACAGAAAAAAAAAAAAAGGAGGAGAAGAAAGAGGAGGTGGAGAAGGAGGAAGTGTAAGGGGAGGAGGAGGAGGAGGAGGAGAAGGCCCAATGATGATCTGACACCTCATTACTTTTCTTCAGACAATTATAGATAAGAAACGCTAGCCAATAGTTAAATACATATATGGCTTTATGCCTATATTTCAACCAAAATTTAGAAATCTTCCCAAACCAACATTTGGAGGGAGAGAGAGATGGAAACACTCATTTTTATGGTGAACTCTGATGTCAGACTCCGTTGTGTAAGTTTCTTAATGGATGAGATTTGGGAACTTTCCAGTCTATTTCTCCACAATATATTATAGTTGTCTTAAGTAATTTTATGGCAGAGTTCAAAGGATTTCTTTCTTTATGAAGCAAGGCTTGGAAATGTAACTATTTGAGGGTTCAAGGGGATGGCCATTGGACATCTTAAAAATAAAACCAAACAAAATAAACTTCTCCATTAGGTTTTCACCTGGATGAAATCCTCACCATTGTAATTCTAATATGAAATTCTCTGCAGCATTGTAAAATCGGAAGTTTAGTTTTGATTCTCAAAATGAGTTCTTCTGTTGCCTTCCCATGACCTCCTTCCATGCATTTTCCAGGAGGTCTACACTTTGAATGAACTCTGAGTACCTAATTCCAGACTACAACTTTTTGAGCCACAGGCTCCGAAGTTATTTCTACTTCTTGTCTTCTTCAGTTTTATCATCTCTGTCTTCCTCTCTTCATACATTAAATCAGCGTAGTTGATTTAAGATTAATCCTTGGATGAAGTCATTTTATAAAATTATTTTATATTAAGAAATTATATACTGGTGGGCAAAATCTCTCCAAATGGAACCAGTACACTAAGAGAAAGGGTTGAGGGGGTTTATCTAAATTGATGTCAATGTAATGTATTCGTGGGACATTTCTTAGTCCTGTGTGCAATACAAGGAAGTTAAAGGTAGCCTTGCCTAATGACACGGTATTTTTCAGTGCCGCTTCGCCAGCCGGAAATCTTCCACAACACGCAGCGCTCCTGCCTGGGCCTCACTGGGTTCCGAGCTGGCCGCTGAGCTGGTTCTGCCCACTCAGTCTGACAGGCTGCGGTCGGCTCGTGCTACGACCCCTGATCCCACGCCCACCATAGGCGTGCCAGGCATGGAGCGGTGAGGGGTGTGTGAGTGAGTGAGTGCGGAATCCAGCCACCACCGCACAGAGCCAGGTGCGCCAGCTGCTGCAGTGCGGCAGGCAGCTTTAGGTGCCGGCACAGGCGCTGGTTCCCTGTGAGGCGGCAGCTGGACCAGGCATACTGCAAGCAAATTCTGCCTTCGATGCTGGTGTCTGGACTGGGGGAACACGGTGACACCCAAAAAACTTAGAGACGCCAACAACCACAGAGCCCCAAAAGGGTGTTACAGCATGTCACCGTTTGTTTGTTCCCGTAGCCCAGCAAACAAGGGTGTGTCAGAGCTCTGGCTCCGGGAGTCCCAAGGTCTGCACCTCCAGAAGGGTTGCAGCTCTTCTCTCCTTCCTGCCATATGCAGCACAGTGAACGGGGCAAGGGGTGGGCAGGAGTGTGTTTCGGCTCCTTTGTGTTACAGCTCATTCAGTCCTGCTGCACTACTCTGGCCCACAGCTCTTGGGCTGGCCCGGCCCCACTGCAGCTTCTTGTCGTCTTGGGTGGCCACTCGGGCAGCAGTGGAGGGCTGGAGGGCTACAGTGTTACAGCTCCTTTTGCACCTGATGTTCAATGGGTCCCAGGTTCTTGTCCTGCATCCAAGAAGAATGAGGTTGCTTGGATAACTGGAGAGTGAGCAAGGTGGAGAAAAGTTTTACTGAGTGACAGAACATCTCTGGGCGGAGAGGCGATCTGCAGTGGGTAGTCCCCAGGTGTGGCTGAGTCTGGAGTTTTTATAGGCTCAGAATGTGGGAGGTGCAGCCTGTAGGTAGCCATGGAAAAGGCAATATTTGATTGGTTAAAAAGCATTATTCAGGCTGGACCCATTGGCTCATGCCTGTAATCTCAGCACTTCGGGAGGCTGAGGCAGGTGGAACAACTGAGGTCAGGAGTTTGAGACCAGCCTGGCCAAATATGGCCAACATGGCCATCTCTACTAAAAATACAAAAATTAGCCAGGTGTGGTGGCGCATGCCTGTAATCCCAGTTACTGGGGAAGCTGAGGCAGGAGAGTCACCTGAGGCGGAGGTTGCAGTGAGCCAAGATCGCATCACTGCACTCCAGCCTGGGAGACAGAGCCAGACTCCATCGCCCAAAAAAAAGAAAAAAAAAAGAATTATTCAGAAAGAACCAATCAGGAAAGAACAGGCAAACAGGAACAGAAGTTCTCACTCTGGTCACAGACTCCATTCAGAACCAGCAGCCCAGTTTTCAGGCTTTAGGCTTTTTTCGGCTTGAAGGTTGGGTTTCACTGGGGACCCACCCCTGTCTGCCTGGGAATTTGTCTGCCTCCTGCCACTGTCACTAACATGAGCTGAAACTTAGAAAAGGAGACCAATAGAATCATATCTACTATTTCTCAATTAACTTGATTCACCAGGATCCATCTTTTCTATAAAACTAATCACTAATGCAAGTTACTTAAAGCAGTGAGGTGCCTATATCCCAAAGCCATATATTCAAAATATAATTGTTATAAAGAGTACAAAAAGCTCAAATTGCCATTGAACTGCAAGGGTAATTGTGTTAAAGTTGATCTATGTACTCACAGCACTGAAAACTGTCATAATCTCCTTGTTTCAGACTAAGTGGATTATTTATGTGTGATAATGGGCACATATGCTCATTAACATGCTGTCATAAACAGCTGTGTTAAATGTATTATGTGTTCTGTGACATAAATAAGGTGCTTAACATGAGGTTGTGTTTAAAATATAGGCCCCAGGAAGAACAAAAAAGCAATACATGCTTTCTAATATAGTTGCCTGCTCTTGAATTTCAAATTTATTTCTTCTTTATTAATGCTACTTGTATGGAAATTGTGGGTATTACTCTAGCGAAATATCTTGGCATTCAAGGACATTAGAACTTCTTTCTGCTGTCTCATCCTTAGTGTTTCTCAAGCCAGGTTTGCTAGCTTGTGTTTCTTTTCTGGTAGAGGAAGAGATCACGTAGACATGGGAAAGGTATTTTCAGCAAAATCAGCCTTAAGTGATTCAGCAAGCTTAGAGCAGGGTTCATTTGACAGATGCTCTCAATTCAATCTTGTTCTAAAAGCCTCCAAACTAGATGTTGAACTTAGAGATCATCTAGTTCAACTTCTTAATTTTTGCAGATGAAGGAACTGAGTTTCTGAGGGCTTAAAAGACCTTTCTGAGTCATGAATTTTGAAGTGATAAAACCAAGACCTAAGGCTAGATATCCAGACAGCCAATTCAATGTACTTCCCACTAGAAGAACAGGATGTACTATAATTGGGTTGACTACACCAAAAGGATCTGTGGGGAGAAGGAGCTTATTTGAAAATAAAGACACCAGGCTGCTGTCATCTGGGATCTTTATCAATATCCATCTATAATAGAGTTATGTGCTCACCATTATTTTACAATTTATATTAATTCAAGCAAAGTTCCAGATGCTTTCTGAGTGAGTGGCCAAGGTGAAAGGAATGAATATATGACAGTGAGCGACACAAGACATCATTGGGCAGAATAACAGACTTCAAACGTAAGTTTTAGAAAAATTGAGTATGCAGGAACGAAGCAAATAAAACCAGGGAGAAACCGTAAGAAGCTGTTCTGCTTTCTCTTCACTGTAAAATGGGGTGTACAAAGATAGAAATAGTTCTGTCCATCAGGACCAGTATGAGTTAACCCCTTATGAGAATATGGATTACCTGCAATTTAGATGCCTGCCTTTTAAATGACAGAAGATTGGAATGATTTTACAAAGTACAACGAAAAGTGTTCCCATTACAGAAAAATGAAGGAAGCTAATGAAGTCAAGGTTGCTATCGTGGAAAAAAAAAATGAAGACTAAAACATAATTTAGGTGGTATTTTTTAAGAAATGAAATGCCATTTCAAACAAATAAAGGGCTCTTAAAGAAAATGTCCATCTCTTCTGCATTTTCACACAAGGTGTTTCAGGAGAAAATGGGATTAAACATCAGCAAGAAAATTCAGTTAGACTCTTAAAATGATTAAATATTGAAAACAAGATACCGAGGGACATTGTAGAATCTCTAGCCCCAAAGATTGTTCAAAATGAAATTGAAAGTAATTTGACTTGAATGATTTAAGTATACACCTGTCTGAGCAAATGGTGGAGCCAATGACCTCCTGAAACCTTGTCAAGGTCTTTGACTCAACATGTGAGTATTCTGTCAAATGCTATACTGCCAGCTTCAAAAACAATATACTTTAACTGATTATACTTGCTTCCTCCCCTCAAGATTCTTAAATGAATTTCTATTACCCTTGGTTGATTCTTTATGTTCATTTACGTTTATGAAACAAATTCAACTGTAATATTTATTTAGATTTCCAAGCCCATGAGAAACATTTGGATGAAAATTAAGACCCTTCAGGGATTTGTGATTTTAGGTAGTAGCTTTATTGACTTGCTTCTGCCAGTGGGATTTACCTATTTTAAAACCCACCTGAGCTTTGTCCTAAATAACTTTGCCCATGCTGTTCAGAGTTGACTTTTATTCTTATAGAACCCTGTATCAGATTGGATTTTTTAAAAATTTCAATGGATGCCATAATCAGAATGAAGAGATAGAAATAGTCTCCCCAAAAGTCTTAGCTACCACACTAATAACTATTGCTACTTTAAAATATCTAATTTTATTTGGAAAATATTAGTTTTTTCTGTCTAAATTTTCATGTACTGACTGATATGTGGTAATAAGCATGCCAGGATTTATATGAATTTGTAATTTCTCATAATATTAACTTTTGGAGCCAATTGTTTTCTTAATTATGATTACCTCGACTGGGTACTTTTTTGCTTATTTAACATAATATCCTTGATTTTAGTTTTTATTTATTCTTGGACATTGTTCAAAGCCCTCAGCTTTTGTGAAAAGCTTTGTAAAGAAAAGACAGGGAATCTAAGCCTGAGATTTATTTGAATACATGAACATATTTCCCTGTGCTCTCTTGTTCCAGGTTTTCAAATTAAAGCTTTCACAGCACTGCGCTTCCTCTCAGAACCTTCTGATGCCGTCACAATGCGGGGAGGAAATGTCCTCCTCGACTGCTCCGCGGAGTCCGACCGAGGAGTTCCAGTGATCAAGTGGAAGAAAGATGGCATTCATCTGGCCTTGGGAATGGATGAAAGGAAGCAGCAACTTTCAAATGGGTCTCTGCTGATACAAAACATACTTCATTCCAGACACCACAAGCCAGATGAGGGACTTTACCAATGTGAGGCATCTTTAGGAGATTCTGGCTCAATTATTAGTCGGACAGCAAAAGTTGCAGTAGCAGGTAGGTGGATTCTTCCTTCTCTTCCTCCTCCTCCTTCCTCTCTTCTTCTTATTCATTTTTGGGGATGAGAAAATAATTTTTGTAGAAATAATGTACATTTTAAAAATCTTTTAAATTTTAAGTTGACAAGTAATTATATATTTTTATGAAGTACAATGTCATGTTTTGATGTATGTATACATCGTGGAGTGATTATATCAAGCTAATTAACATATCTGTCACCACATACTTCTCTCTTTTCTGTGGTGAGAACATTTAAAATCTACTCTTTTAGCAATTTTGATATATACGTTGCTGTGCAATAGATATTAAAAGCTTATTTCTTCTCTCTCACTGAAACCTTGTGCCCTTTGACAAACATCTTTCCATTCCTTACCACGCCCCATCTTCCCAAGCCTCTGGTAACCATTCTGCTCTCTAGTTCTATGAGTCTGACTTTTTTATAATAGATTCTACCTGTAAGTGAGATCATGCAGTATTTTTCTTTCAGTGCCTGGCATGTTTCCCTTAGCATAATATCCTGTAGGTTCATCTATGTTATCACAAATAACAGGATTTACTCTTTTTAAAGGCTGAATAGTATTCCATTGTGTGTGTGTATGTATATCATATATACACACACACACATATATATATATATCTCATATTTTCTTTACCCATTCGTGATTGATTCCACATCTTGGCTGTTGTGAATAATGCTGCAATTAACATGGAGTATAGATATCTCTTATATACCCTCATTTCAATTCCTTTGGATATATACCCATAAGTAGGATTGTTGTATCATATGGTAATTCTAATTTTAGTTTTTTGAGAAAGCTACATAACCATTTTTCATAATGGCTATCTAATTTACATTTTCACCAACAACGCACATTTTTAAGAAAAAGGAAAGATGTAAAAAGATTCATGTTTATTCTGTCATGGATTTGACTGACCTTTCTCCTTAAATTATCTTAGAAAACAGTCATAGGACCTCAACTGGCTGCGTAAAGTTATGAGATTATTTTTTTAAACAAAACTGTTTCAAGTTGACTTACTACTTATATCTAAGGGAGGACTTCTCATTAACAGAAAAATATTAGAAAATATAATTTGCTAATTTTACTTTACAGCTTCATTAAATGCTAAACTTTTGCAGAGTCCATTTTTTTGTTGTGGGGCCTTAAGAAGAGTAAATTTTATTTTAATTATAGTGGCATGGCCTACAACATATACATGTCAAGTAAGAAATAAAAATTCCTTCTAGTGCTTCCAAATTTCTTAACGCTTGGTAACATGTTGGCTCAACAGCTGAGTAATAAGATGAACAGTTTTTGTTTTCACCTGGATACACTGAAGTCATGTAGACTCTGAAAAAATGGTACTGACCATTCTGGAACCCATGATATTGCTATTTCTGCCCCACTCTTCTGGTTAGAAGGCAGCTCATAATTATTTCTGTTGGCCCCTGAAATGTTAGACCTGCAAAGTGAAGAATCAGTTTTTTTACTTGTTTCTATAAAGATTTGACCAAAACCTGTCTTTTTTTTTAACTTTTATATTGACCATAAAGCAAGGCAAGCAGATTGAACTTGAAATAAATTTAAGTTATGAATGGGTAAGCAGATTTGAAGGGCTGCTTTCAACGTAATCTTTAGTTCTCAATAAAAACAATATTGAATCATAGGCTGTTTAGTCATTTGTTATGGGTTTTCTTTCCCAGGTCCTACTTAGTCTAGTCTCATCTTGGAAGACTGATCAGAATAACTCATTTTCATCAATAACAGGACAATTGGGCAGAATCACCACTCCTTCATGCACTCTCCTAGTGAGGGTCTGAGAAAGTTGAAATCTGAAAGATGTGATTTTGTCAGGTGGTGCTATAAAGAATTACATCTCATAGATATGTGGTTAATTCCCATATGTAGCTTCAAACCACTCTTCTGTAGCTTTTCTCCACTAAGAACTCTGTAGACTGAATGTTTTTTCTCCCTAAAATGTGTATATTGAAATTCTAACCCCCAATGTGATAGCACTGGGAGGTGGAGCCTTTGAGAGATAATTAGATCATGGGGTGGAGCCCTCATGAATGTGATTAGTGCCGTTATAAAAGTAACCACAGAACACCCCTGCTCCTTTCACCATGTGAGGATACAATGAGACGTCTGTAATCTGCAACCCAGAAGAGGACCCTCATCAGAAACCAATCATGCTGGCACCCTGATCTCAGATTTCCAGCCTCCAGAACTTTGAGAAATCAATGTCTGTTGTTTACAGCCTACCCAGTCCAGATACTTTGTGATAGCCACCCAAACTGATGAAGGCAGAGTTTTCCATAGTCAGTTAAGCCAGATTTTACCTAGAGGTAGACTGGCTAGCCATTCTGCTTTTCTTTGGACTGACTTGGCTTTTGCACTTGAAAGTCCCATATCCTGGGAAGCCACCTCAGTGCCAGGTAAAACCAGGACAGTGGGTCACTCTACCTCAAAGTGTCCCTGGTCTGCTTTAGCAATGACAGACTGAGGTGCAGATGCAGAAAACCCCCTCTACTCAGGAGACAGGCCAGGTGACATCCTGATGGTGAAAATCAAGGCTATAAAGTAACTGGAACCTTGGAGTGATGAGTGTCTGAAATTTGATTGATGAGTATAAAGTGTAGAGAGAACTGAATGTTAATGTTAATTATGATTGATTAGGAGAAACAAGTGGAATAAATCCTTCAGATTTGGTAAAAGCAGCTTTCTCAGAATGCTCCAAATGAAGTGGAAAGGGGACAATTTGACTTTCAGTCACTAGAGAATTTCTGGCCTCATAGATCCCACCCATCAGTTGTCCACAAGGCCAGAGGAGGTCTGCTGATTTGAATGAAGCAGGCTGATATTTTGATGCCTTATTATGAAAGGCAGCTGCCTATGCACTGTTAATGAAAATGGCCTGTTACATTGCAGTTTCAGTCTTCATGCAATCTACATTCACATTTACATGTGCTGTCTTTCAGTAGTGAAATGAAGAAGAGTTCCTTCGCTGTGAGATATTAAAATACAGTGGCTTGGACTTTAGTATTCTGTACAAGGATAGGCACACGGATTCAGTCACTGAGTTAAAATCTCATATTAGATTGTATCATTTCAAGGCAATAAGGCTGTTCACAGCATTTTAAACACTTACCATGCTGTTTGGCAACACAGAATACATCAATGTTATGTCTGCTGAGGTTAAGATTGCCAAACCACTAGAATTCACAAGGGGCATATATCTTCCCAGTAATAAAGACCATGGACCTGATTTAATCTCAGTTTTAAAGCATTAGCACTCAATAAACCAGTCACCACTAAATGGTAACAGTAGGCTTTGCTTGGGTAAAACAACAACAACAAAAAAATGTTTTGTACTCTCAGGTGCTGTATAGAGCCCATATTAAATAATGTCCCTCTTCCATTTTTGCTTTCTCAAAGTGTCTTTTGATAAAAAGAAGTGTAGCAAATGAAATCTGTCTTTAATCAGTCAGCACATTTTACACAATGATCTTGCCATGCACCATTCATCCTATTTTCTAGGAGCTTCTCAAGTGCTCTTAAAGGCTTGAGTGCACACTTGGCTGGAGAGGGAAGGAAAGTAGGAAAGATAAACGAAGAACTATCATTCCATCCAACATTTTCTTAAAAGTTGCAAAGTAACAGGCTACTGACTCTCAGTATTTCTAGTCATTTTGAGTTCTATCAGTAAAGAATACCTGGGCTATTAAGCCTCCATTTGAAAGCAACTTCATCATACTGGCTGAAATTTGGGAATTTTATTTTTATCCAATTAGCTCTAATCTAAAATGCTGCAGTGTTTCTGTGCCATGTATACTTCTATTTAGTCCTCTAGATTGAGAACAGCTGAAGAAGGGAAGCAGCGCTGAACTTATCTATGAAGCTTTCCTACCATCCCCTCTACTGTGTATCTAGCAAAGTATGTCATGTTAATAGTAGACATTTGCCTTACCAATGAAGACCTGGGGCTTTATGCCATATAAAGAGAGCTTTCCGCTGTTGCCATCCTCCTCTCTACCTCTCCTTCTTTGTCTCCCTTCTACTCCTCCTCCTTCTTCACTGGATTTCAGCAGATCAAACTCACCCATATATGTGCATACATAAACATACTCTTAACAAACTGAGTTGGAATAATTTGCTTTATATCTCAATAGCCTACAAATTAATTAACTATTGAAAACTTTGTGATTAGAAAATTGACTGTTTGGGAATATTCAAGTGCCACTTAAAAAGGAAAAAGCATGAGCATTTCTTCATTCCTTCCCTAACCCTTACCGTGAAAATGAACTTGCATCTGGCCAAGCACATCTTCCCTACTCTAAACGTTGCCAGCTATCTGAGCCTCTGGAGTATTTTCTGTTCAGCAGACATAATAATAACCTACCTCCCAAGGCTGTGGTAATTTTCAAACAACATCTAGGATGTAAAGCTCTAGTGCAGAGTAGATTCTTATTCAATGACAGCCATAGTATAAATAGAACTAACAATTATTATTATTGTGTTATTTTAATAATTATTAGGAATGAACAACTTTCAATATTCCCATGTGATGATGCAAAATATTTTTTTTCAGGGCAATGAAAAATAGGCAACAAATCCTGAGACATACATATTGTAATCTTGGATCAGATATCTGCCTTTGCAATCTGTGAACACAAACTGGCAAGCCTGAATTAAGTTTTCAAAAAGTTAAATCTATGGGAGATTTTTTGGCAAGCAGTGCCCAAATCCCTTGGAATAAAAGATTCATTTTTGACCACTGGATCTACTATTATGTTAATGCAATCAATACAGTTTGTACTGACCAGAGCAGGCGTTTGAGATTGAGTGACCTTGCAATCATTTCCAAAACATGTACAGGGCACTCCTCTCAGCCTTCTTAATGGCTTTTCAACTGAAAAAGATTCACTGAAGCTGGTTCATGGGAGTTCACTTGGTCTCGACTTGGAGTTTAACACAACTGGTACCCTCCTGGGGATGAGGAATTAATTCTAATATGTAAGAAGACTAGATAACAATAGATTTCCTATGAATAAACATAAAAATCCCATTTTATTTTGCTTTTTTATACAACCATGACCCCCTGTCCACCCTTCCCCACACCTACCCACCCACACAGCTCCTTGTCCACTGACTTGCCCTGCACACTCTAAGGAGCACGGTTGGAGCCTAAGTGGTACTTCTGCTTGCATTTATACTTCTGGGGATGGCGTGGGACAGGCTCCTCCAAGGGTAAAGCAATGTTGACTGCTGGATACATTATATTGTATTTGTGTCCAGGTAGATTTGTCTTTGTTAATTTTTCAGCATTTACATTTTAACATTAAAACCACTGACTTGCTTTTTATAGCAGTTTCTGCTTCAGAAAGTGAATCTCTATACATTACCTTGTAATGCTCAGAAACTGTGATTTAAGTACCCAAATTGACAGGTTAAGAACTTACTGGAAAAAGCTAAGAGCTCTATGGCCAGAGATTGGGACTTAGATAGTCTAAATCCAGATGCACACTTATTCCCTTATCACTTTGCTTCTCAATCTAAGGACTAGATTTCAGAACGCTGTAAACAATTTCTTATGTAATCAGTCATTTATTTTTAATCAATGAAACTCTCCACAATACAAATTAAGGAAAATAACAATAATGGTAATAATGATAATAATAATGAAAATCGATTTATCCACTTAGTCCCTTGAAAATGTCAACTCCTTGTGGGAAACACTATGATTTAGATGTTTTCTTCTAAGATGAGAAGATTTTGCTATCATAGCTATACATTCAATAGTGACACATGACAAATCTGTGTCAGAAAAACAGACAGCATATAATTTTTAAAATAAGCTCATAAATAATGATCTTTCTAGGAACACAATTTGGTAATCTTTTATCTTTCTAAGTGGTTTTACAATTCAGGCGAAGTTTGCATATTTTTTTTCTGCTTCTTAAAAATCAAGAAAATAAAAGGCCAACTAAATTGCATTTCTTGACTTGTTATTTCATTCAGGGACATATTTTTTTCTTCCCTATTACAATAGATGTTCAAGATGCAAATTGTCACACTCTGCTTTTAAATAACACCTGCATTATAATTAAAATTCCCCTGTGTTTTTAAAAAATAATTAATTACTTGAGGAGTTGTTTCAGTGAATTCTCTTCTAGAATGCCTCCCATTTAAATGAGTTATGAAATAATTAGTGAAAGCATATTATGGTGAGAGAAGCTAGAATGAAGCATTTTGTGAAATGATAACCTGACCTTTATGTTCTTACTTAAAAGAACCTGAAAAAAAAAAACCTTAACTGAAGAGAAGGAAGAATAAACCACATTGCCTCAGGTCACTCAAATGTTATATAAAGGAAACACCAAGAAAAATGTTTATATTCCTTCTCTCTACAGGAGCAAATATAAGAATTTTGCCTAGAAGGTCAACTTCATCCTGTGCAGCAGTCTGGAAAATGTATCCCAGGGCCCTTGAATACGCTCAGAATTCTATTTGGGAAGGTTTGGTTACAGTGCAGAGCTTTCCATTTTACATTTATAGAGATATTGTTTATTTTCAAATGATAAGCAGAAAATTAAATTGCTCTGACTCTGTAATTCTTAATGACTTAATGATCTTCATTTAGCTAAATGTTCCCATTGTTTTGTAGTTAAAGCATGAGAGAAAGAAAAAATAAGAAATAAATGTGGTCTTATAAGTAACTGTTATATGTTTACTAGTCTTATCATTTTTCTTTAATTTTATTGCTAAATCAAATTGAGATACAGCCATCACCAATATTTCCCCAACGCCTATTCCATCACACAGCCCCCACACCCTCAACTTAAATAATTGCATTTTAAAGAGTAGGGTTTTAGTTGCCTCCTTCCTAAGTCAATTAACTCTGCAATAAAATTAAAATACAAATATATTCCTGAAAAATATGCAGAGTGAAAAGACATCTTCTACATTATAAAATTTACAATAGAGAACTTGACAAGGCTTTTTATAGTAGAAACATCAACAAAATAACCTAAAAAAAATTTTCAACCTTTCATTTCCTTTTCTTTGTTATGAATTCTAATTCATGTGACAATGGAAATAGCTAATTATTCATTCTAAATTTAATCAGTATCTTAAGAGCTCTGTTCTTTTATTCAACTCTTAAGCTGTCTACAGTTCGATTTTGCTGGTACTGTAATGAAAATGCAAGAGAAACATCTAACACAACTCAGTAATAGTAACCAAAAACTCTTTTGAATTTTAGAAAACCTTTTTGGAATACAAAAATTTAAGTTTCTTGAAAAACGTCAAGATAAAAAAGATTCAAATCATAGTAATGTGAGAGAAAATAATGTAATATCTGTTCCTTTACATCACAAGGAAAATATATTACACTGTTAATCTTGTTAATCTTTAACAAAACACAGATTAACAAGAAAAAAGCATAACAAATTTATTTAAACAAAGTTATACACAAGTAACTTTCAGAAATGAAGACCCAAACCCCTAGGGAAAGCTTTATATTTTTATGCTAAGTCTTATCAGAGAAGTGGAGAATTGTGGAAAAACATGATTGGACAGAGAGCATAGACAAATGGAAATAAACTGGGGGAACTTGAGTAAGGTCTGATTGTTCAAATAATTGTCTGCACCTCTGTATGATATTCCTTCCTGTATTAGTCTGTTCTCACACTGCTATAAAGAACTGCCCAAGACTGGGTAGTTTATAAAGGAAAGAGGTTTAATTGACTCACAGTTCTGCAGGGCTGGGGAAGCCTCAGGAGACTTGTAATCATGGTGGAAAGGGAAGCAAACATATCCTTCTTCACATGGCAGCAGGAAGGAGAAGAATGAGAGAAGTGCAGAGTGAAGTGGGGGAAAGCCACTCATGAAACCATCAGATCTCATGAGAACTCACTATCATGAGAACAGCATTGGGGAACAACCCCCATGGCTCAATCACCTCCCACGAGGTCCCTCCCACAACACGTGGGGATTACAATTTGGGTTACAATTCAAGATGAGATTTGGGTGGGGACACAGAAGCAGACCATATCACTTCCCCGGCTATGGGGCAGGACTCCTGTCACATGAGGGTTTCTTTTATGGACAGCTCTCACATAGAAAGGTGGGAGATAGTCAGAGCGTGACCTCCAAACCACCACATTTTGGTGTAGCATGTCCTGCACCCCATCATTAAGTAGAATAATTGTAGCATTACATTAGATAGCACAGTTATACAATTCTGATGAAATAATGATGGATAATAACTTTATGAACCTATTTCTGGTACTGATTTTTGTCCTATTTTTATGTGTATGGTAAAATATATTATTTGGACTCAATAACTGTATACAAACACATTTGAATTAAGATATTAATATTAGATACAAAGCTTTTCTACAAAGTAAAGAGACATCAAAACCTAGAGTGTGTCCTGGAAGCCAAGTAAATTAATTAGAGGAAATCATGGAAAATCTCAGTGTATGGTACTTCAACCATCTTAAACGTCTACTGTCATAAGCAGTATATATAGATGAAAGTAATGAATACAGTTAGTGAACACAATTACTTATCTCCCTGTAAAAAGTTATTGTTAACAGTCTTTATATTTATAATCTATATCTGCATACTCTATAATAAGCAGTCTAATACATTGGTCATTGTATTAGTCCATTTTCACACTGCTGATAAAGACATACCAGAGACTGGGAAGAAAAAGAGGTTTATTACAGTCTACATGGCTGGGGAGGCCTCACAATCATGGCGGAAGGCAAGGAGGAGCAAGTCACATCTTACATGGATGGTGGCAGGCAAAGAGAGAGCTTGTGCAAGGTAACTCCCCTTTTTAAAACCATCACATCTTGTGAGAGTTATTCACTACCATGAGAACAGTATGGGAAAGACCTGCCTCCATGATTCAATTACCTCCCACAGGGTCCCTCCCACAACATATGGTAATTCAAGATTAGATTTTGGTTGGGACACAGTCAAATCATATCAGTCATTATGCCTATCATTGCTAAATTTGCCTATTATTTGGTAGAGGTAAGAGAATAAATCAGAAAAAGCCATTTGGATTCATGAAAGAGCGAGATAATTTTGACCTAGCAAATCAGTTGTTTTGGACCTTGAATCATGAAGTTAACATAAAACAATAACAATAAAACAACAATGATAAATATTTCTGATAGAAATTCAATAATCAGAGTAGGTCCCAAATTTCCAAATTTATCTTTTCATTCTATGTTATACTGGGAATGAACAAACACAAACCCATGCACACACACACACCTGTGACTCTTAGTGCTCTAGCCCAGAGTTCTTTGGAAGTTTCCTGTTAAAAGACAGAGCCTTAGCCTCAAAGGTCAAAGCGCTTCCACTGAAAAACCTTGTTTGAAAAATTCCCTCTGTAGTCTCAGCTACTCGAGAGGCTGAGGTAGGAGAATGTCGTGCACCCAGGAGGCAGAGCTTGCAGTGAGCCGAGATAGCGCCACTGCAGTCTGGCCTGGGTGAAAGAGTGAGACTCTGTCTCAAAAAAAAAAAAAAAAAGAAAAAAAAAAAGAAGAAGGAAAAAAAAGAATTTCCACAGCATCTGAGGAGCAGCTTTTAGGTCCACAGAATTTATCACAGGTTCTTAACCAGCGCTTATTGTGAAATGTAACTCAGGTATCTCTAATTGGGCCAGATGGAGCTATGGAGTTCTAATTTCTGGAGGGCAGTTAAGCCTCAAAGTTTGGTTTCTCAGAGTAGCATGTCTACCTTCAGAATCCCAATGAGCATGTGTCAGAGAAAAGTCACATTTAAATAGTTTGATAGGCTGGGCATGGTGGCTCATGCCTGTAATCCCAACATTTGGGAGGCTGAGATGGCAGGATTGCTTGAGCCCAGGAATTCAAGATCAGCATGGGCAACATAGTGAGACCACTGTCTCTACAAAAAAATAAAAAATTACCTGGCTATGGTGGTGCATGCCTGTAGTCCCAGCTACTTGGGAGGCTGAGGCAGAAGGATCACTTGAGCCAGGAGATCAAGGCTGCTGTAAGCTGTGAGTGTGCCACTGCACTGCAGTCTGAGTGACAGAGTGAGACCTTATCTCAAAAAAAAAAAAACAAACATTTTTTAAACAAAAATTTAAAAAATATTTGATAGGTCTCAGTATATCTGGGGCTGGGAGTGGTGGCTCATGCCTGTAATCCCAACACTTTGGGAGGCTGAAGCAGGAGGATCACTTAAAGACAGGAGTTTGAGACCAGTCTGAGCAACATAGCAAAGTCCCATCTCTACATAAGATTTAAAAATTAGCCAGGTATGGTAGTACATGCCTGCAGTCCTAGCTACTTAGGAGGCTGAAGTGGGAGGTTGCTTGAGCCCAGGAGTTTGAGGCTGCAATGATCTATGATTGCACCACTGCACTCCAGCCTGGGCAACAGAGTGAGATCACAACTTAAAAAAAAGATGGTCATATATGTGGGATATAGTTTGTGTGACAGGATCTGTATTCTATCACATCTGCATATTTCCCGTGATGATCTGTAAAGGAATGAGTTTACACTATTTACATCCTAACTTAGGTTACCCAGAGATATTTAGATATAAACACAGTACACAGACACATTCACACACCTTTCCATTTAGATGGCTCTTCCTAGATAAGCTTCTGTATCTTCAATCTACTGATGAACACCATGGTCATAAAATCTGCTTGTTGATTTATAACTCCTGTTCTTTTCATACACATTTTAAAAATCTGCTTTAAAAAATCAGTTTCATTGTAACCCTGAGGCTTTATCACCCTTGAAACAGGCTGCTCATCAGGTTCATTTACTAAGATTTTACCTGAAACACTTCACCAACTAGAAACCTATTTAAGAAAGTATGTTAAAGATTAATAAAGCCTATATAGCTTCAACATTAAATTTCAGTGCTGGTTGGTTTTATTGGATTGGATTTTTGTGGTCCCTTTTGCAAAGGAATTCATCTCCAAAGGCTGAAACATGACATAAAAAATAATTAGTATTTCTTTGATGCAGAAGGCACAGGTTCCAGGAGCATCCTTTGAATCCCACAGTGCATTGGGCACTCCATGAGCCAACCTTGTGGCTATTTTTCTAAAGTTGTTTCCAGTTATGTCCCAGCCCAGGAGTGGCCAGGTTTGGAATATGTAATTGCAGATAAAATAAATGTTCTCTTCCACCTCAGTATACACATTGTGAATATCTGGGATTTGTTTATTTGTTTTTATTGGGAAATAGTTTATATACCATAACATTTACCCTTTAAAAGTATATAATCCAGTCACTATTAGAATATTCATAAAATCGTGCAACCACCACCACTATCTAATTCCATAACATTTTCATCACTCCTATCTCCCCTTCTGCTCCTGCTCTGGAAAACACTTATCTACTTCCTGTCTTTGCTATTTAACATAAATGAGATTATCTGATTATCCTGTGGCTTGTTTTTTCACTTAATGATATATCTTGGGCATCTTCCTATATTTGTTCTTACAGATCAGTTTCATGGTTTTTAATTCCTGCATAATATTTCATGGTTTATGATTCACATATTGAAAGCTATTCTATTTGTTTCTGAATTTTTGCTTTTGCTAATAATTCATTAATGAATGTTCTTGTATTTAGTAAATGCTCTTCTGTACATACCTTTGACAAGTCTTCTTCTTACCTAGTGGTGTAATGACTTAATCAAACGGTATGAACATTTTGATAGAAACTGGTATATTCAAGAGCATTTTATTAGCCTGGACCTAAACATTGTAAGCCAGGATTTGTTTTACTGCTATTGACTGAGCATATAGAGCTGGGTTCTTCTTAACTTGTAAATATCATTGAAGCCTACTGCCTACTCTGATAAGAATAGTGACGAGTTGACACTGTTAATGAATAGCCATAGGCATTTGTCAGAGAGAATCTTATACATGGAAACCTAGAGGAATGCATCTCATCCATGTCCTGGGTTTCTGACTATGGTTTGGATATTCATCCCCTCCAAACCTCGTGTTGAAATTTGATCCACAAGGTGGGGCCTAATGGGAGGTGTTTGTGTTATGACAGTGGATTTCTCAGAATGGCTCAGTGCCATCCTCACAGTGATAAATGAGCTCTTGCTTTATTAGTTCCCAGGAGAGCTGGTTGTTAAAAAGAGCCTGGTGTCTCCTCCCTCTCCCTCTTGTTTCCTCTCTTATCATGTGATGTCTGTACATGCTGGCTTCCCTTCACCTTCTGCCACAAATGGAAGCAGCTTGAGGCCCTTATCAGAAGTAGATGTTGGCACCATGTTTCTTGCACAGCTTTCAAAACCGAAAGCCAAATGAACGTTTTTTCTTTATAAGTTATCCAACCTCAGACATTCCTTTATAGTAATACACATAGTCTAAGACAATTTTCCATGTACTGATTTGTGTCTCTTCTGCTGTCTGTAAAAAGAAGTTTCTAGTAGATATCACTCCATGAACTATCTTGGGATTCCTCTTAGGTCCAAAATAACAATTTTTCAGGCTCTGTATATAATGTCAGACCCCATAGAGTCACATCAGCATACCATAGAAGAATGAGAACTCTTTCTGGTGGCCTAAATGTCTTTTAGCATCTGAGTCCTGCCTATACCTCTAGCCTCATTTTCTTTTCTTTTTTTTCTTTTTTTTTTTTTGAGACAGATCATTGCTCATGTTGCCCAGGCCGGAGTGCAGTGATGTGATCTCAGCTCACTGCAACCTCCGCCTCCCAGGTTCAAGCCAAGTAATTCTCCTGCCTCAGCCACCTGAGTATCTGGGATTACAGGCATGTGCTAGCACTCCTGGCTAATTTTTTTTTTTTTTTTTTGTATTTTTAGTAGAGATGGGGTCACCATGTTGGCCAGGCTGGTTTTGAACTCCTGACCTCAAGTGATCCTCCTGCCTTGGCCTCCCAAAGTGCTAGGATTACAGGCATAAGCCACTGCACCCAGACTCTAGCCTCATTTGTAACCAAATCCATACTCATCTCTTCATGTTTTACAGCAATTTGATAAATGTGCATTCTGGTGCCACGGCTTTGCACCCTTTATTCTATATGCCTTATTCTCTCATACATCATGCTAGCTCTTGCCTTTTCTTCCTCAGACTCAGTTCTTGCAACCCACCTTCAGGAACCTTTAACTGGCCCCCTAGACTAGGAGAGGCTCCATCTTCTTTGTGCTCACCGTAATCTATCCTTCCCTCTGTCATTGCATGGAGCATATTACACTGTATCTTTACAAGGCTCCTAGACAAACACGCCTCCTTCCCTGGCCAAAGATCTCATAAAGACACAGACCATGTTACATTTGTCTTAGCTTCCCTAGGCAGTGAGACTCCACAGAACCTTGCTAGTTGTGTGGGGTAACACGGTGGTTAGGGACACAGGCTTCAGAGCTAGTCAGCCTCAGAATCTATCTCTTGGCCATTCACTAGTTCTGCAAACTTGGGACAACCATGGAAACGTTCTGGGCCTAGTTTTTTCATGTATTAATGGCTATGAGATAGTGTCTATCTTCTATGCTTATTGTGAAGATTACCAAATAATGCTGAACAGAGGACCTAAAACATAGTGAAGCAGGACGTTTCCCTGACCCCTTCACTGGACTCGCAACAGGGGTTCTTCCTTTACTCAGCCCACTGCTCTCAACTCCTTGTGGAGGGAGCGTACAAGTGAACAAGTCAGCAACTGGAGTACACAAGTGCTAGAACCAGTCGGCCATTTTGGTGCCGGTAGGATCAAACTCTAATCACTAGACCTGCTGCACACCCTTCACAGGAGGGAGCGCACAAGCGAGCAGGTACAGGAGCCAGAGCAAGCACTTTTGGGCGCCAGCAGGAGCAAACTCTATGCAGGCCCCATGGCAGCATCCAGGTGGGGTGCCTGCAATTCCGGAAGGCCCAGAGGGTGTGTTACAGTGCTTTCAGCTCTGCCATCTGCAGACAGCTTAAGTGTTAGCAGCTCAGTGGGCCCATAGCTACCCTCTGCCAACTAAGGCAAAGAGCCAGTGTGACAGCCTCCTGTATCTGCACTCATGGCTCCCAAGCTCTTGTCCAGCATCCAGGAAATATAAGGTTGCATGAATAAATTGAAGGATGGTAAATGTGGGGGATTTTATTGCCGATGAAAGTGGCTCTCGGTGGGAAGAGAAGCTGAAAAGAGTACAGTGTGGGGGAAGGGTAGGTAATCTTCCCTTGAAGTCTGGCCATCTCTGGCTGAATTCTTTTTTGAAGTTATGCCATCAAGCTGTTCCTCTGAAGTCAAGCCACTTCTCTCCAATCATCCGGCTGCTTCTCCCCTCTGCTGGCTGAGTATGGGGTCTTTACAGGCACATGATGAGATGCGGTGGGGCCATGGGTGGTTTAGGAAAAGGCAACATTTGAGCAGGAAAACAGGGATATAAGTTCTCCTTTTAGGTGGTGATTTCAGGCTTTTTAGCTTGAGGGTGAGATTTTGTCAGGGACCGACCCTTTTCTGCCTAGAATTTCTCTGTTCCCTGTCCCCATCAATGGTAAAAGCTCAATAAGTGAGGCTTTATGAAAAACAGAAAATCAGGGTAGTATTAAAGATTCCCCAGGTACCTTGCAGCAAATAGGAAGAGAGAATCCCCATGAAGAAGGCTTTTTCTATGTGGGGACACATATCCTGTGTCTTTGCTGCTCTATGAGTATTGGCCTGTTTCCCATGCAAAGTTTGTTCTTCCCCATCTAGGTGGGCCCTCTGCAAACATACGAGATTATATTTATCTTTTTAAAGTTCTTAGCACCAATATTGTAGGATCAATACTTCTGCCTGAAGTAAATAGGATCAATCAAATAATGACTGTGCTAGAAAGTAGTTGGATAATACTCAGGGTTCATGATTTTTTTATTTGATGATATTGAAACACATCTCTTTAACCTCACTTAGCAAAAGTCAGAAGTAAAGTTTGTCATGGCTTTGAAGAACTTTCTATGGGTCAGCAAACCTTGGGACAATTTCACTACATTCTAGGAAGGCATGTAAACTACCTATTGGCCAGCTACTCCAGGCAGCCTTTAACATATCACAAAAGTAAATGGTCATTACAGACATAAAAATAATGGGGTCAAGAGACTCATGCTTATTATGACTTGAATTAACAACTATGTTTTCACACAAATCTTCATTATTTATAACTGGCTTAGACAATTATCCCTCCTTTTACGCTTGTTGGTTTCTTGTGTTCAAAAACTGCAAGCAGTTACTTTATTTTGCCCGAAGGTCTAAATTTGTTTCTTCCAACACTAAGCCATTTTTCCCAAGTCTTATTTTTCCCTTGAATTTGTGTAAATACCTGTAGTACAAACGTTTCACTTTAAAAAAGGGCTTTTTAAAAGCCGTTTTTCTAGGAAATATTTTAATAATCAGCATTATTTATGTTGCCTGTGTAGTTATGTAAATAATTTCAGCCTTTCCTCACAAACAACTCTTATAACTTAACATGCCTTCAGAAAATGTGAATAAGATTACCAGATAATGCCTCCCCAGTAAGCATGTTAGCACTTCAGGAAGAAAATGTGAGTGCTGAGTTGAGAATGTGTGTTAGGCACAATGACAATAACAAGGAGGATTACAAATGAAATAGCGCTACAAATAGCACCACAGTTTGGAGGAGGAAAGCAATTTGGTGAAGTGAAAGATGTTAAATGTTTTAATTTTCTTCTATGCCAGTAAAATCTTGTAAAACAAGGTGACATATTAAATTTTCTATACTACAGTCTCTCCAAGAGCCTGTCAACATTTTCATTGTAAACTCTATTTTCAGAGCTTTATAACTCAGCATTAAGAATTCACTCTGGCTTGACATTTAGAGTGTAAGGTCTTACCTGGGGAACATGTGTTTCATATGTTTTAAAAATTACGAGTTTATCCATTTCTCAGTTTATAATGAGTAACCTTTTCACACTTTTTCCCTTGTCTGCTGTGCCTCAGAAATTGCAGGGAGAAGGCTTACCTATGGTAAATCGCCAATGGGGGAAGAATCTACAGATGTGGTCAACACAGGTCAGGGCTGCTGATTTTCATTACTGAAACTCACAAAGAGCTTCTGTAGAAAGCAAAGAGCTCTGCTATGCTGCCCTCAACATTTCAGACTAGACTTTGTGCTATCCAAGGGGTATATTTTACCACGACAAAAACCTGACTGATTGCAGAATTCTTAGTCCCCTGTCTGTTTATTTCAACATTTGTATTATGTTGTGTCTGGCATAAGACCTTTTTCTAAAGCTTTACAACATACACCCTAATCTTGCTTCTTTGTTTTTAAGTCTTCTTTGCATGTGTTTGTGTGCATGTGTGTGTGTGCATGTGGTTTATTTTCCACCTTTCTGTCATTATTTAGCATAGGGAGGTTTTCAGTCAATATTATTCAGTAATACGGCTACCCTCTTTATACCTTGAAATACCTACAGTTTAATCTCTGGAAGAATTAGTTTTTAGAAAGTTAGAATTAGAAAAGGGTGAGGGAGAAATAAACAAGGAAGCAACAGAAGAGAAAAATATCTGTGGCCATTTGATATCAGACCTTAAAATGTCTTGAGGACTGAGTAACTACCATGGCTTCCCAAAAGGATCATATGTGGGTTGTCTAGGAAAAAAATGGAATTCCTTCAATAAAATACATGGTAGCAAGTCTTCAGTTCTAGGTTATTTCAGGAGAATCCTAGAAAATCATCACTTCCTGATATGTATTGAGAATTATTTCACTCCCACCTAATTGCATTGTATTTTACATGGCTGACAAATTATCTTCCAAAGTGGATATACCATTTTGCATTTCCACTAGCAATTAATGACAGTTTGTTGCTCCACATAACCTTCATCATTTGATGTCAGTGTTCTGACTTTTGGGCATTCTAATTAGACGCATAGTGGTATTTCACTGTTATTTTAATTTATCACTTCCTAATGACATATGATATAGAATATCTTTTCATATGCTTATTTGCCACCAGTGTGTCTTCTTTGGTCAGATATATGTGCAGGTCTTTTACCTGTTTTAAAATTGAATTATTCATTTTTTTCTGAGTGTTAACAATTTTTGTATATTTGGTTTGAGAGTCCTTTATCAGATACGTCTTCTGTAAATATTTTCTCCTGTTCTGGAGCTTGTGTCTTCATTCTCTTGATGGCATCCTTCATGGAGCAGAAGTTTTTAATTTTAATGCAATTCAGTCTATCAATTATTTCTTTCAAGGATCATGCCTTTACATATTGTTGTATCTCAAAAGTTGTCTAAAAGCCATCTCTATACCCAAGATCATTTAGACTTTCTTCTATGTTTTCTTCTAGTTTTATAGTTTCATATTTTACATTTACATCTGTGATTCATTTTGAGTTAAGTTTGTGAAGTATGTAAGGTCTGTGTCTAGATTATTTTTCTTTTGCATGATGATGTCCAGTTGTTTCAGCATCAATTGTTGAATAAAACTGTCTTTCACCATAATACTGTCTTTGTTCCTTTATCAAAAACCAGTTGGCTATATTTTCAAAACATTTTTAGTGTGTTTATTTCTTTCCATGTCTATTAACACCATCCAAACAGAAACTGCCATCATCTCTTGCCTGCTTCTCCTAAAACAGTCTATTAATTAGTTGACAATATATTTCATACACAGAGGAGAGTTGTCTTTTAAAGCATTTGAAGTTGGTGGATGATTTTCCACTGCTTTTAGGATCAAATATAAACCTTTAGTGAAATATAAAGCCCTGTGGAATCTGGCTTCCTCCTGCCATCCCTTCTCTCTCTTTTCCTCTCCTTCCTCCCCAGCCAACTTCATTTCTGCCAATTTCTTCATAATGCTCCAGCCATATTTTTTTTTCACTTCCTTGAGCATGTCTCACTTCCTCCCACATCAAGTCTTGGACTATGGAGTAATTTCGTGGAAATCCTAAACGCAGCTGCCTTTGGTTTAGCTCATTGCTCTGTTCATTCTTTAAAGCTGTTTTGCTGTTTCTTTCTCTGAGCTATCTGTTGAGTGTTTAGGTATCACTGCTAACTACTATCGCATACCATGCCCTCAATGTCCTTCATAACAATTGCCAATTATAATTTCATTATTATTTGTTTAGCACATGCCTTCCTCACTAGAGTGAAGGCTTCCTGAGAGCAGTCAGAATCATATCTGTCATCTTTGCTGTTGTATTCACAGTGGGCACAGTATTATAGTGTCTGAATGTCCTACCAGAGTCATGGGCAGTGACTGAACTGGAATCATCAGAACTGCAGAGCCAAGGAGCTGAGGGTTAAGCTCAAGATTACTGGAGCCCAGGACTTCTCTATTCATCTAGGAGTGAAGTAATCCAATGAAAAGTCAAAAGACTTTAGTTATCAGTGTACAGGGAAAACCTAGAGAACAAGGACTTGGTGAGTCATGGAATCTTGGACTTAGAAAAGATAAAAGTCTGCATGTAGAAGTCAGTAGTTTTAATAGTGATCTCACATTCAGAGCATTACATGATTCAGGGTTCATCTTCCTTCGCCATCCTTCAAAGCACATAGTCCAGAGATCATTTCGTTTTCTATACATGGTTCCTCACATGCTGAGGAAGACGGGACAATGTTCTTGGCCTCTCCTTCCCACTGGGCCTCCACAGGGGAAAATTAGCAGCATTCATTTTTTCCATTTTAAAGAAATAATCCGCTTTTCTTTTCAGAAAGCAGTTTTCCAATGCTCTGAGGTTTACGTTCATGCCTCACTGGGCCTGATTTACTCAGTGTCATCTGAGCAAAGAGGCGCCCTGGGATGGCCCAGCATTAGAGCTGGTGCTTGAGCCCAGATGCACGCACAGAATGGTACATGAAGCAGGCAGAAGGTGGAGACCATATATTTCTTTTAATGCAGTAAAGAAAAAGTATTCACATAGAATGAATATTTAAATAAATGAGTAATGTAATTATTTTTCAGTTCCATTCAATTAAAAAATATTTATTCAAATTAAAAGGGAATATGCCTGAGCCCCTTACTAGCTGACATTGGTGATTTCTCTAGCGCTTTCTCCCTTAGAGAGCCACTAGCCTTCTTCTCCTTCCAGAGGCTGGGGATGCTCTCACTTTTCTTTCCTATACTCTATGGAGGGACAGATAAGCAGGAAACTTCCTCTACATAGAAACACTAGTGAGTCAATTTCCAAACCCAGAGACATTTTGGTGCATTACACTCACTAATATAACATGGAGACATTGTTATCAGAGAGGTCTCTAACAAAGTTTTCTCTGTGCTATTTTATCTATGTGAGGGAGGTGGGAATTTCTTCAATATCAAAAACCTCCTTTAATATTGAGCAGTTTTTTGCACTTGATCTTAGCCAAAAGGCCAAGTAGCACTGAAATGTTTTTTGTTTGTTTGCCCCCTCCACACACCTTCTCTCTCTAGTCACCTCTCTCATATTTTAATTAACTCGTAAGTTCAGTGCTTCTCAAATTTGGTGTGTAACAGAATCTTCTGTAGAAACTTGTGAAAAAAAAAAAAAAAGAAAAAGAAAGAACAAGGCCCAGGTGTTCTATCTCAGTGAGGCTGTTGTCTTTATTAGCTCCCCAGGTGATTCTAATATATACCAAAGTTTTAATATGTCTATGGTTTCATGTTTACACGAGATAACACTATGCTTTGTTACTCCATAATATCCTCTTTTTTTCCTAATGTGGTTGTTTACTCAATGATACATTCTTTTTACTTACTAGAGTTGAATCATTTTTGATTCTTGGAAGCTATTAACTATCAGATTCTCTTTATTAGAAGTTATTGTCATGACAAACACTTAGGTAAATGGCGATTTTGTCAATTTATGCTGAATATCTCTTGGTTTAGGAACTTTATGTTAACTGTTATTCTTTTAAGACTAGACCATTGTACCATGACTAAAAACAGACAGTAAACCATGGATATCAAGAGAATAATAGCGAGAGGTTTGTAAGTGTGTATTGTGGGGCACCAGCAATTTATTTTTCAGAAAGCCTTATTAAATGCATCTCTACGGATTGCCATGGTTTATGGCAGAAGTGATGTGATGATTTGTATTAGAGTTTTAATAAGTTTAGAGTTGAAAAATTTATTCTGCTTTCAGTTCCTTCCCTCTGGCTGACAGTTAATGTCCAAGGTACTTAATCAGAGAAACTACCATGGGAGGTCTAATAATACTGTGCAACAAAGGGAAAAGCACATCTCTAGGATCAATTTCAGAGCCAGCTGTATTTTCTCCTTAAAGAAATAATAACTCAAATGAGATAAGGTCCTGCCTTCAAGGAGATTTCAGTCCAGAAAAAGATCTGATCCATCACAGTGCTTTTGTTTTTTATTATATTGGGTGGTGTTTTGTCTTTCTTTATTTCTTTCTTTCATGGTAAGGACTCAATGGAAGCTGAAATTCCCCGAGGAGTGTTTTAGCATCTTATCTCTAGTTTCTTGCCTCTAAAAGTTGAAGTTACAGTAGCACAGTATACATGTTTCTCCTTCTTGCTTATCCTGGAGACTTCCTGCTTAAATATATATTGAAATGGTTGCAAATATTTTCATTGCCAAGAAAATAAACTGCAAATTGTTTGGTTGTTTGGCATTCAGAGTGCTATGGGCATAGATCCTTGATGGCAGATTGACTGTATGGCTATAGCTATCATATGATGACTCTTCAATCCCTTTATGACTTTTATGAGAGAACCCCACCACATCCTCCAGAGGCTGCTGTAACGATTAACAGCAACTGCAAATAACTTTGCAAAAGGAAATTATACTTTGAGTGGAAGAGCCTAGATTTAAGGTAATGAAATCCCTGAAAACTATAGCCTATGTGTTAAGATTTATTCTTTAAGTTGGTTAGATATCAAACTATGATTCTGGCCTTTGAACTCTTAATGGTGAAGATTTTTATCTTACATGATGAACACATTACAACAATTTTGTTATCTGAACATTGAGTAAGTTAGTAGCCACAACGAAGAGGTCAGCCTTATATTTTATATCCTTAACTATGAGTTCTATTTCAAGATGATGTATTCACCAAATCTTTATTAGTTTCCCCAACAATACTGTGGGCATTGATATAAAAAGTTTATAGGAATTGAAAAATTAACCCCCCCAAATATATATCTCTATATATCTATATCTATCTATTTATCTATCTATCTATATATTTTGAGACAGAGTCTCGCTGTGTCTCCCAGGCTGGAGTACAGTGGTGCGATCTCGGCTCACTGCAACCTCTCCCTCCTGGGTTCAAGCAATTCTCCTGCGTCAGCCTCCTGAGTAGCTAGGATTACAGGCATGTGCCACCACACCTGGCTAATTTGTTTGTATTTTTAGTAGAGACGGGGTTTCGCCATGATGGCCAGGCTGGTCTCAAACCCCTGACCTCAGGTGATCTGCCTGCCTCAGCCTCCTAAAGTGCTGGGATTACAGGGGTGAGCCACTGTGCCCAGCCCATATATATATATATTTTTTAAAGGTGGGAGTATATATACAAAAGACAACAACAATTTGTAGGAAAGATAAATCAGATACAGGGGGAAGACAGATGAATCAAGGCTGTTGAAGCTGCAGCCAACCAAATTTCCCCAATAATAATTTCCACAGGTGGTTGTTAAATTTACCAGTTTGTAATTACCAAATTGTTGTGGGGCCTGGCAAACCACTCTGTAACAGGGGCCCCAGATGCTTGTGATATTCAGAATGATTAGGTAAACTGTGGCGTGGAGCCATGGCTGTCAGAAAGTGTGGTCCCTGATCAGCTGCATCAGCATCATCTGGGAACTTGTTAAAAATGAAAATTGTTTAGCTTTATTCCAGATCTGTTGAATCAAAGATGATGGTGGTGGAGCCCAAACAATCCATGTTTTAACAAGCCCTTCAGGTGATTCTGGTGCACACTCAAGTATAAAAACTACTGGTTTAGACCAGGCCCAGTTTGATTGCAGTTGATGTGGCCGGCTGAATGTTGAAGACGCTTCAGTACCAAGAAAAAACCCCAAGGTAGGAGTGAGGGAGAAAGGGCAGAATGAGGAAGTGGGGATATTAATGAGATATCTAATTCTATCGCTGTAGCTACATCTTCTTCCCTGTTTACTTTGTGCAGAATACTCAACAAGTAGCCATTACTCCCAAGGTAAAAGAAGCAGCATCTTCTTAAAAACTGAGTAGACTGGAGAGGTCAGAGCAGCAAAGAACTCTGCATTCTGTTGAAATGGCAAAGGTTCCCTTGTTCCCCTCGCAGAGTGTGTGATGGGGGTATGGCTTGCTTCTTCAGTGCCCCGCTGCTCACCCCTCTAGGGGAGCATACAGTCGGGTCCTGGTTACTGCCTGTTTTCTCCAGCCCCACTCATGGCTGCTGGACTAGCCTTTGCCTGCTGGGAAAGGTTAAGGAGAGGTGCCCCTGAACCATGAGTGTCTGCGGCTGTCGAGGTGAAGGCATATATGACACCTCTAGGAATAGTTAGTGTGATTTACACCTTCGGCAGCTGAGCCAAATCCTCACTTTACTTAGTAACATTGCTGTAGCCTGTACCAAAACTCTTTACATTGTAAAGAAAGTGATAAGAGCCATTTCAAACCATGTGAGAGAAAAGAGAGAAAGTCTGGGGCTTTTGACCAGCCCAGTTAGAGTGGAGTTTTTTAAAGCCCGGTGAAGGGAAACAGAGCCTCTTACCAGCAGGAAAAGGTGGCAGGGTTTTGGAGGAAAGGCAGACCTGACAGTTTCCCTTCGTCCACGCTCACCTTCCAGGATCCTGGGTGAGGCCCCAGTTGAAACGGGAAAGGTTCGCCTGTCCCCCTCGCAGGGTGTGTGACATGGGGAGTGGCTCGTTTCTTCACTGCCTCACTGCTCATGCTTCTAGGGGAGCATACAGATGGGCAGGCTATGGGGTTCCAACCCCATGGCAGTGTCTAGGGGTGAATGTTTACAGCTCCTGAAGCCCCAGTGGGCGTGTGTGATACAGGGTGCTCTCTTAGTTTGCTGTCTACCGGAGGCTTGTGTTAAGCAGCTCAAGTAGACTCTCTACCTTGTCGCAAGGACAGATCTTTCTGTATCCCGGGTTCTTGCCTTGGTGTACTGGAATAATCAGATCACACGTGAGCTTGGAGAATGAGTGCAAAGTTTTACTGAATGGAAGTAGCTCTCAGCCAATGGGGGAGCCAGAAGGGAGATGGTTTTCCCCCAGAGTTGGGCTGCTGGGTGGCCCCAGCTTTCCTCCAACTGCCGGGTCAAACTCTGCCTCGTCCCGCCGGTAGATGGCCTGCAGGCCTGCCACTATTAGTTGGTGTGCTCTTCTGCCAGAGTGCTCCCTCATGCCCTCTTGCCATCCAGCCACTTGTGTCTTCTTCCGCCGATGTGCTCCTCTTGACGTCTGGCCGCCTGTGTGTCTGCCCACTAGGGTCTCAGGCTTTTACAGGCCCAGGATGGGAATGTGGTCTTGGAAAATGCAACATTTGGGTGTGAAAGTAGGAGTGCTCATGCTCACCTAGGTCCGTGAGGGTGGAGCCCCAGCCAGGGACCTGCCTTTCTCTACCCGGCACTTCCCTGCCCCCTTCATTTAAAGGGTCTTCCCTTCCCAGCACTCCTGTATCACTGTCATCAAGATGTTCCCAGCACAATAGGGAACTTCTTTCTCACTCACACTACAGCAGAGTTGGATACTGACTTTCTCCCCAATCAACAGACACAAGCAAATATTTCAACTGGCTCACACTTAATATAAATTTACAACAGTATCACCAGACATTTACAAAATTTTTGCAACACAACAGAGAAAGGCAAAAGTGAACAGTAGAAAAATAAAATAATCCCAAGATAATTGAAGGAAACAATTTTATAATAAATACTAGTACTCTTAGAGGAAATTGATGAAACATTGTACATATTTATAAACCAATAAAAGAAACTCCAAAAGAAGAACAAAAATGAGCTCTTAAACATTTAATTTATTATATTTATAACTTATAGTTTTAAAATGTATTAGGTTTGTTAAGAACTTAGATATTTTAGTAGAAATTTTAAAAGAAAAAGAAGGGTTCAAGGAATACAGGAAGTCTATAAGATCTGTTCTATTTTTAAAAAAGCTGGAAGAAAAAGTAGGATTAGGTCAAGAGTTCTAGAGTATCCGGGTAGCAAGAAAACCAGAAAAGATTAAATGGAGGGGAAGGACGTTTACAAATATATAAAATAACATCCCTGAGAGATCTTCTGATTGAAAGGGTCTACCAAGTGCTGAGCCAGGTTGCAGGAGGTGGGGATGGGCGGGGAAAGCTTATAGTGGATCTACTATACGATTTAAGAAAATGAAGGATAAATAAAAGTTTCAGAGAAAAACGCACATACATACCAAAACATACTCAGTCTCCCTGTGACTCCTCAACAAACTAAGTGTAAAATCATAAAACAATGTTCCTTATTACTTTGAGAAAAGTTTTCTGCAAACTAGTTATTTAAACATTCAAACTATTAATCATGTGAGTATAAAATACATTGTCAGATGCACAAGGGCTCAGAAAGTGTCTCAAATCTTTGCTAGAAAGTTAATTTTTGTAACCACGTATCCAAGAGGAGAAGGTCCTTGACTAGCAATAGGTTTGGGACTAGCATGAGGCCAAAGGTGCAAGTTCAGAGCCTTTTTGTGTGTGTTTTGATTTTGTTTTTCCATTATGGGATTTTTTGCATTTATTTTTACTTTTTAAAAAATTACCTTATAAAATGTTATTTATCTTAAAATTGAGTGTTTTGGTGCCCCGTTAACTTTTATGTCCACACATCTGCCTCGCTAGTCTCATCTCAGTCCTGTCCTTAACTAGTGTATGAGTTTCCTATGGCTGCCATAACAAACTGGATGGCTGAAAAACAGAAGTTTATTCTGATAGTTGTGGAGGCCAGAAGTCTCAAATCAAAGTGTCAGGAGGGACCACAGTGGCCCTGAAGGCCATGAGAACTCAGGCCTTGCCTTCTCAGGCTTCTGTTGGCCCCATAAGTTATTTGGCTTGTGGCTGCTTCACTCCAATCTCAGTCTCCATAATCACACTACCTTCTCCTCCTCTGGGTGTCTTCCCCTCTGTATGTCCATCTCAAAATTCCCATCTGTGTGTCTCACTGGATTTAGAGCCCACCATGATAGCCCAGAATGATCATCTCATCTCAAGATCCTTAATTACAAAAATCCTTTAAAAGAAATAAGGTAACATTTACAGGTTCTGGGGAGTAGGATGTAAATGTATTTTTTTGGTGGTGGGGACAATATTCAGCCCATCAGAAGCAGCAAGCAGTGGATGCAAAATCAGGAAATAATAAAGGAACATTCCAGAAAGATACCTGTGCAGCTGACCTAAAGAGTATCTAGTCCAGACTAAAGCAGAAGAGAATCTAGGAGGCAGATCTCCAGGGAAAAAAAAAGATTTGGTAGAATCAGTGGGATGTTTGAGGGAGCAAATGAGGCGATTATAAAGGCAAATTTTTTTAAGTAAGAAATGCCAAGTGTATCTATGGCAGAAGGTAGATGGAAAAATGGAAAGGAGAGCTAAAAGCAGTGGACAAGGACAGCAGTCTCTTCTTGCTGTGTATAAAATGAAAGATTATCTAATCTTGATAGAAGGAAAAACAAAGAGCTGCAACAATTGTATTACTTACAAGGGTTTTTAATGGTCACCAATATAGATAATCCAAATAGCAATATACTAAGCGAAGCAAATCGTGGCAAAAGTGAACCAAATCCTCAGCTATCATACTAAGAAGTCAGTAAATAATGTCTAAAGTTGAAAAACTTAAGGAAGAAATACACTATGTAGAGACGTGAAAGAAGCTGCAAGTAAAGTTTTAAAAGTTTTCGATAGAGAGTGAAACTATTGTATGCAAGTTTATTTCCTTTGGTGTTTTAAATGTGCACTAATACATAAAAATAAAAGAACTTGTAACACTTTCTTCAGTTGCATGCCTTGGGAATGTCTTTTAATGAATCTTGGGGTGTCTTTAATAAATAGAATTTTTTAATTTTTTGCATTGTCTTATAATGCCTATTTCACTATTAAACTCTGTGAACCGTTAACATTTTTTTCCAGGCATTGGCTGATACATTATTAAAATGCAGTGAAATGAAATAACATAAAAATAAAGACATTCTAAATCCAAACAATTTTAAAATCATACTCAATAGACCCTTTCCCCATCAAATTGTTGTTAAAGTTTCTAAAAGCTTCCTTTAGATACATATTTCCCATATCTCATACTGGTAACACAAAGCTCGCAGATTTTGATAATTTTGAGAGGCATAATTTGAGTAATTGCCTAGTTTTTTCTTTTTCTTTTCTCGTCATTAAAGTCTTTAGTAGTTTTGTTTTTACTGTCTTGCCTGAGAAAACCTTTCCTAAACCAAGGTTGTCAAGATATTCTGTTTTATTATCCTCTAAAAGTTTTGTCACTTTATTTTCCACACTTAGGCATCAAATACACATGGGCATTGTATATGATAGGAGATAGGGTTGTAATTTTATTTTACCTTATCAATATCCAATTGTGCCCTGCTCATCAACTGATAGGATCATACTTTTCCCACTGCTTTCCAGTGACTTAAAAACATATATGACATATCAAGAGTCCATTAATGTATGATGTGTTTCAGGACTCAGCATTCTGCATCAGTGTTCTATATGCCTAGCATAAATCAAATGTCAATTTAATTGTTGTGCTGAGATAAGTTGATGTTCTTGGAAAATTATCTTTCACCTTGTTCTTTTCAAGTGTATGTTGGCTTCTGATGGCCCTTTGCATATCCATAAATCTTTTTTTTTATACTTTAAGTTCTGGGATACATGTGCAGAACATGCAGGTTTGTTACATAGGTACACACGTGCCATGGTGGCTTGCTGCACCCATCATCCTGTCATCTACGTTAGGTATTTCTCCTAATCCTATCCCTCCCCAAGTGGCGCATACCCCAACAGGCCCCAGTGTTTGACGTTCCCCTCCCTGTGTCCATGTGTACTAATTGTTCAACTCCCATTTAGGAGTGAGAACATGCAGTGTTTGATTTCCTGTTCCTGTGTTAGTTTGCTGAGAATGATAGTTTCCAACTTCATCCACGTCCCTGCAAGGACATGAACTCATCCTTTTTTATGGCTATATAGTATTCCATGGTATATATGTGTTGCATTTTCTTTATCCAGCTTATCATTGATTAACATTTGGGTTAGTTCCAAGTCTTTGCTATTGTGAATGGTGCCATAATAAACATACATGCACATGTGTCTTTATAGTAGAATGATTTATAATCCTTTGGGTATATATCCAGTAATGGGATTGCTGGGCCAAATGGTATTTCTAGTTCTAGATCCTTGAGGAATCACCACACTGTCTTCCACAATGGTTGAACTAATTTACACTCCCACCAACAGTGTAAAAGCATTCCTATTTCTTCATATCCTCTCCAGCATCTGTTGCTTCCTGGCTTCTTAATAATTGCCATTCTAACTGGCATGAGATGGTATCTATTTGTGGTTTTGATTTGCATTTCTCTAATGGCATGTCCATAAATCTTTAGTTGACTTTGATGCTTTCTCCATTAAACATGTTAAGATTTTGATTGAAATGCATTCAATTATAAATTTGGAAAGAGAAATTGACATCTTTACAGTTTTGGGATTTCCAATCTATGGATATAATTTACTACTTCATCGTGGCCTTTTATACCTTTATTTTAAGTGTTATTAATTAACCATCAAGGTTTTTCATAGCTTTCTGCAGGTTCATTTCTAGTACATCATATTTATTTTTGCCTGACTCTTTACATAGTATTTTTAGTTGAATTTCATCTGTTTTTCCTTTATATGAGATTCAATAGATATGTAGTTATACAAATTGACACAACCCAGGAATCTAGCTCAATTCTGTGCAATTCTAATACCTTAGCTTGACATTCTTTTGAACTTTACAGTTTTGAGATTAATAAAATTTATGATTGTCTTGTAAAAAATTATTAATTCCAGTTTTTAGATATCTTTCAAAATATATAGTCTCTAGAGGTATAGGGAAGAAAAAGTAATATTTTCCTCATCATAGCAAGGGTCATGGCTGTGACTTCTATTAATAAAAGATAATAAGAGAAAGGCATTCACATTTACTTAATCTAAGTTTTATATGACACAGGAACCTTTAGAACTGAAGACCCCCCAAAGCAGGGAAAACTGTGTATATTTATGCTTACGTTTGATGAAAATTGGATAATTATACAGAAGAATTACAACTGGAAGAAAAAGGAGTATAAGCTAATGGTAAGAAATGGGAGAACTTAGCAAGTCCTGTTTATTCAGGTTCTTTCTGGTGTCCTTGTGTGATATTACTTCCCTCCAAGTGTGAGGCAGACCACCTGTCACGTGAAGGTCTTCAGGGGAGAAGGGAGGAGGAAGGTCAGAGACCTTTCTGCTTTTGCTGTTTTCTCAATTTCCAAGCTGCCATACTTTGGAGTAGCATTTCTTGTACCCCATGAGAGGGAAATATAAGGAGAGAAGTCTTAGGTGGTGAAAAGATTGGGATTGTAAGAGTGGAAAGATATGATTTCTTTCTTCCCTCATCATTAGAGTTATGTATGACATTTCTACACAAAAGACAGATTAACAAGAAAAAAAGCAGAACAAATTTATTTCATCAAAGTTTTTATTAAATAAAGACTTAAAGACCCAGGGAAAGTGTCTATTTTTATGTTCAGGTTGGATGAATAATGCTCAGCCATGTAGAAATACAACTGGACAAAAGGATCTGATCTAATGATAATAGGTTGAGAAAGGAAACCTAGCAGAGCCTGGCTGTTTGAATTCTTCTTGGTTTCATTGTGTTGCATTCCTTCCCCGCAACCCCTGCAACTTCCTTGCAGGCAAAGGAAGTCATAGAATTATTTTATGGCCAGTTATCACACAGAATAGTGCGGGAAGATCAGAGTGACTTTCTTCCTTCTGAGCCTCTCCCAATCTATTTCAGTTCAAGGTACTTTGGGATAGCATTCTCCGAGCTCCAACAGGATCCACCAAACTGCTATCTGAGCTTGATTACAAGTCATCATAGACAGTTGAATTTTATAGTCAACGTGTGTTGAATACTTCTATGCAAGTGTCATTGTGACCGCTGAAAGGGAGTTTCTCACTTAGAGGAGCTAACATAGTATCAAGATGAGTAAAAAGAGTGCCTCTAACATTGTATTAATATATATAGTATTAATATTTCATAGTCTGCCATCCACTTCATCCTCCAGTCTGATCAGTAACAGAAGTTATTGATCATTTTTCAAAACAGCATGGGAAATTCATTTTATTTATCTCTTATAAAGCTTAATAAACAGCTATAGAGATCTTTATGAAGAGGACTTTGTCTCTTGAAGGACAATATTCTATTTTAGTCTTAAAAGCATTAAATTTTTCAATTTTTAAACAAAATTCTCATCAATTGGATGTTATACCCATCTATTTATATGTGAGAAGAACAAAGCTTATATTACTTTGTTTTTTTTATACTACCAGGGCATATTTTAAAGTTTGAATGTTTAAACATACTTGGTCAGTTGAAGAGAATGACTTTCTTCATTACTGATTGAATATACAGGGAGAAATTTTAGCAAGAAGAATGTATGACTTTTTTAAAGAAAATAATTTCTGAATGATAAAAAGGACCATTTTCCCATAAAGACAGTCAAGGTAAAATACAATTGAGTAGAACTAAGAAAGGAAACAACCTCTTCAGTTAATGCATTTTCAGAGCTAAGCACAAAGGTGCTTCCTAAACAAAAGGATCTTTACAAATGAGGGTGCTCTTTAGAGAGAATATTTTCAAAGGACCCCTATATAGTTCAACAGGCTCCTTCAAATGCAGTGCATTTTAAAAGCTTAGAAAGTAATGATATGCCCTCTAGACTGCCAGGCAGGAGTTTTATTGTGAAGGTTTTGGCAACACAGTTCGGTTTGTAGCATCCGCTTTGAACTAGCCTTTCATGATTCTGAGACACGTGCTTATAATAATAAGTATTTACAAGTCAGGAGATGAAATTCAAGTTTCTATTTTTATTTCCCCCATCCTCTCATCTCCTACATTTTATATATTGGACCTACCCTAAGATTGCTTCTGACTCTGCACACTCTAGTGTCCCAAATTTATTCCTAAACTCTGCCTCTATCCTAACTTCTTGCATACATACTCACCCTTTCTAGCCAAGGACTTGCATTCAATCCCAAATACGCTGACCTCTGGAATCTCAGCCTTTCTCCATGTGCATCTTTCTTCCTCCATGTGTATTCACTTGAGGACCTTTCATGCTTGTGACTGGCTGAACCTGGATCAATTGCTCTGCTCCTGCTTGGCTTTATTCCAACCTCTCTTGTTCCTCTCTAGGTTAGTGTACAAGAAAAATCAGCATATCCCCAATAATCTGTTAAGTGAGTTGTGAATTTGAGAAGTTAAGGGGAATGTATTCCCCATTATACTCTTCGTATAAACATTTTAATTTTAAAATCTGACACTCTACCTAGAAGAAATGGGTGGCAGATTTGCCCAGCAAGGTAAATCATCACTATTTGTTATATCATGTATACTGTTGAAAGGCCTAAATGTCTTTGGACAGATGGTGCCCTGTTAGAGTAAAGGAAGCTAAAAACAAGAGATCATACTGATTCCCAGTGTGTTAGATGTTTCTAAAAGTATGTGTATGTCATAATGAAAAACAGACCTAAACTACCAATACTTTCAGAGGAAGCATAGTCTTAGACTCTATTTATCATTTAAGTGAATAATAATTATACAAGAAATTCAATTTATATAAGCTGTCAATTAGAATGAGTTGGACATTCCTACTTGTTCTTTTTACAGCAACTGCTCTTAAAAGTGGTTTAACACCGATTTAAACTCCTTGAATACAGTAAGCATATGTTTATCCAGAACTAAAAATAATTTATACTACTACTCTTTTTTTTTTTTTTTTTTTTTTTTTTTTTTTTTTTTTTACAACACAAAGGTTGAAGTACATAAAAATGCTATTGCTTTACACAAGGCAGCAAAGTTTTAATCTTGGCATCCACAGGTGTGTAATGTGACTTGAGACCTAACAACACCCTCTAATTCTTTCTGAATCCTTATAAAAAGTAAGTTATGTCCATGATGTTGATAGTATTATTTTTTCTGTAAAAGACATTGTAGTGTTTAAAACAGATTTCTGGTACAGTCCTTGTTCTCAAGCATTTGGTAAATAGTCTGACTTAACAAGAGTCCTCATGTCTAATCCCTCTAAATACAGGCTTATACTTCACTGTATATACAAGTGTATATGTGTATGTATTATATATAGTGTGTATATATAGTATATATGTGTGTGTATGTACACACACACTTGTAAATACAAGTAGGTACAAGTTTATACTTCACTGTGCCTTACAGGGCAATACATACTTCATAAATTGATGCATAATGATTGTGCATATTTATGGGGTACATATCATATTTTGATATATTTATACAATGTGGAGGAATGATCAAATTGGGGTATTTAGGATATCCATCACCTCAAATGTTTACCATTTCTTTGTGTTGGGGGCATTTTGACTCTTCTAACTTTAATGTAGTCTCATGCATTTTGAAATATACAATAAATTACATGTTTACTACCACACACTAGAATTTATTCCAACTGCATATTTGTACCTATTGACTAACCTCTCTTCATCCTCCTCCTCCACCCTTCCTAGACTCTCGTAACTGTCATTCTAGTGTATAAGTCCATGAGATCAACTTTTTTTGCTCCCACATGTAATTGAGATCATGCAATATCTGTTTCTGTGCCTGCCTTATTTGACTTAACATAGCGACCTCCATTTCTGTGTTGCTGCAAATAACAGAATTTCTTTTTTATAGTGAATGATATTCTATTTTGTATTTTTATACCACATTTTCTTTATCCATTTACTCGATGGGTACTTAGATTCCTATCTTGGCTATTGTGAATAGTTCTGCAATAAACATAGGGGGTGAAGGTATCTCTTTGATGTACCGATTCCCTCTCCATTGGATAAATACCTAGTGGTGGGATTGCTGGATTGTATGATATTTCTACTTTTAGTCTTTTGAGAAACTTCTGTACTGTTTTCCATAATGTCTGTACTGATTTGCATTCCCATGAACAGTATATACGGGTTCAATTTTTCTCTACATGTTTGCCAGCAGTTGTTATTTTTTGTCTTTTTGTTAATAGCCATTCTGACTGAGGTGAGAAGATCTTCTCATTGTGGTTCTCATTGTGATGACTGATGATGTTGATATTGAAAATTTTTTAAATATGTTTTGGCCATTTGTATGTCTTCTTTTGAGAAATGTCTATTCAGATCGTTTACCCACTTTTTAATAGTGATATGGCTATGTTGCTTGGGATATGTACCCTGGGGTTCATCGTCTCATGCTGAGAAAGAACTCAGGACCCAGACACATGTGAGTGGGTTAAGAAGTAGAAAATTTAATAGAATAAAGGAGAGAGGAGAGCAGGTCCTAGGGAGGTGGAGGGGGAGAGAGAGAGAGAAGAGAAGGGGGGAGAGAGAGAGAGAGACAGAGAGAGAGAGACATGTCCAAAAAAGTGGGGAGGTGGTTGACTGCAGCAGATTTTATAGGAAGGCTGGAGAAGGTGGTGTCTGATTTACATAGGGCTCACAGATTGGTTGATCAGGCACGAGGTTTACATAGTGCACAGGGAAGACTGGTCACCCCAACCTAGAATGTAAATGGACTTTCCAGTTAATCGACACCATCTTGATTCCTGTTGATTGACACCAGTAAGATTGGCACCATTTGCTCTTTACTGTGCACATGGCTGACAAAGAGAAGGGAAGATGGAGCTGCTATCTTTAACATGTGTAGTCCCTAGTTACTGCTGGCATTCACCTGTGCAAGCTCCCAGTTTGCTTGTCTGTCTGCAGCTCTACTTTATAGGCTGCTCTTTGTTAGAAAATGATTTGGGGCTGCTTTTCATTAAAGAGAAAAGCATTACCAAAGACTCCCATGCCCTTACTCTCTGCTTAAGTAATTTCTTAAGTCCTATATCATTCCACCCTCTGCAGTGGTAACCCTAACTGCTGTTAGAGAATGTTGGATGACAACTTTTTCTGGCTACTTCCTGCTGAAAGGGGTATCATGTGGGGAAAAGCAGCTAGGGCTCCTCCTGGGGTCAATCTAAGGGTCCTCAGAAGAAAGGTGTGTCCATGTTTGTTTGGTCTGCAGCACCATTTGCAGTTTGATTGCTCTCAATCATTCTAATGGGTTGTGATACTGGTTTGCCTCCACCAGATGCTGCTAAATATTAATATAAAAGTAACATTCTTTTTTGAATAAGTGGCATTGGATTTGGGTGGCTAGAGTAACTTTAGTATTGACCTTGGCTAAATCTTTCCTGCAATTATTAATCCCCTCATGACTTCTGCAGACCATCTAAGGCATGTTTAAACTTTCTAACTTCTCCTAAGCATCCTTCTTTTTAAACAACCAACTATTATTTTTAGGACAAGTATTTACCATCTTTATAATCCTTTCATACTTCCTTTTTGGTGAAACTATTATCCCTGCTATAAGGATAATAATTAAGCAAAATACTACAGCAATGGAAACTCTGTGTCCACTATTCCAGTTAGAAGGTGCTACTGTTTATAGCCCTACTGCAAATAGCAGAGTGAGTATAGCAAATCTTGCAAGTGTGGTGTAGTAGGTACTTTCCACATAAAATCTTACTTGTCAAGATACAGAATTTATCTTTGGGGGTCTATGAAGTTCCTTGGTTTTATTTTCCTAAACAAAACTCCAGGTTATGGGCATCCTATTTACTTTCACTGCTTGGCAGGATTTGCAGGATAATTGCTCAGAACTAGCATATTAATCCAGATTTTTGTGTTACCCATCCCTTTTTGTTTCTTCCAAGCTGCAGGAAATCACCATTTGATTACAGGAATAAGCAGGATTAGTCTAAAATGTAGGCAAAAAAACTTAAAAACAATTAGTGAGACAAGGATTTAATGACATGTATGATATGCTTTGGAGCATAACTTTTATCTCTCCAGTCCTCATTTTTGGTAAAAAAACAAATTATGATAGGACCATGTTGTTTGTAGAAAAAACTTTAACCTTATACTTGGCCTGATTATTTGGAATAAAGTTCAGCAAGAATGGTTATTTCTACATAGCTCTTTTGGATTGGCTTAGATGGAACTCAGTTCCACAAGGAATCTTAGATAGGACCTTTTAAAGCTGAGCCCGGCCATAGGTTTATATTCTCTAATACCTGTGAGTTGGGTGATCCTTTTCTCTTAATGTTCCAAGATAAACTTGGAGTTCGTGGACCTGTTAGAAAGTGACATTCTTTACTGACCACAGGTTAGGAACCCTGTGTGGGGACTGTGTAGACAAGGTATGAGGCCAGTCTTCCCCAAGGGGCTTTTATCAGCTCTGCAAGTCGAGATTGACTCCTTAAAGGGAAGCATATACTTCCAGTCAAAGCCTTGATAAAATAACCAGTTTTCCAATTGTGTCCCATTGCAAAAGAAAAATGGATTATTATTGCGATGATGCAAACAACTATATTGCCATAAGTTAAGAGTACTCACAGATAGTTTCCAATTTCTAGAGGAACTAGGCAGAGAGAAACATGCTCCAAATTTTGTTCACAGAAGTATACCTTACTCAATTATTAAAAGCTTTAAAAAGTTAAAAGTATGTTTCCTTGAGTCTAAAAAACAAAACAAGGATCAGAAATACTTCAAGCAAAATATTCCAAAAAGGTTGCTTTAACTTTCTGAGTACAGTCCATTAGTTAACTCTTGTTTTGTTTGACACATAAACATTTCAGTTCTTCATAAGTCCCATACATTCTTTCTCTATTCCAATGTTACAATCTTCAAAACTATTGAAAACCTGCATTTGCAATCACCTGTTAAGGTCCTTAATATGGCTTGATGATAAACCACATTTTGAGAAGGAACAAAGCAAGGTGACAATTGTCTGCAAATGGTGACAAAGTTTCCAGGGTAGTTAGTTAAAAACATGACTAAGAAGTTTAGTTATCTCCATGGTTTACAATAATTTTACCCTTAATTATGATTGATAGCATATACTCAGACATTAGAATTTTAGAAATCCCATGCACTGTTGGAACATATCTTAGTATTATTCACTAAAATATAACTTAAATTGTACATCATTTTGGCAATCCCATGCAACTAAACATGTCAAATAATCCTGTTTACCTCTTTTCTGAAAGTTTCAGGGGCCTTCTGAGCCATCCAGAAATCCCAGCTCAGGGAAGATAATTTGGATACTAGAAGTTTGATTTTTGGGATGCCTGTTAAATGTTAGAGATTTAAAACACTTGATGTTATGAAATAGAATCCCAGATTACCATAAATTATTTATTTTGCCAAAATGATGACTCAAAAAGCAAAAATCTTTTATTAGCCTTTACTATTGCATGAAAATCCTGTTAAAAGCCAAATTTTTACCCTTGCATTAGTTTATTAATGTTAACCCCAATGTTTAATGAAACCTCAGACAATTTCATATAATCTTAACCAAGTTGAACATGAGGTGAAATCTGTACAAGCCTTTTATAACTGCTTTTGCTAAAGAGGAGGTTAGTGTCTTAAGACAGTCTTGCTGTGCTTTTATTTCAATGCTCAATTTATAAAAAGACCATATAATACCCTTTGAATTTAGTTAATGTTTACACATTTTTGCAAGATTAATTTTTACAATCTTTTCACAACTTAAATGTGTTTAGCTTTATTATATCAAATTTAAGATAATCCCTCATCCCTGGGCAAAATTTACATTTCCATGCTTTCTTATAATCTTTTACTAAAAGACACCTTGCAAATAAAACTGTTTAGTGATTTCAAACACATGTTGCACTGTTAACTCTTTGCAACTTTTAATGAAAAACCTGGTTAGTAAGCAACTTTATGTATCAGGTGTGGAGCCTAGGAACCAGACAGAATTGCAGAGTAGGTCTGACTCCACATGTCCCAGGCCTTACCTATCTGTAAAGCATGCAGTATACAACCTTGGAACATTTAGCAAGCCTAGTATCTAAGTGGTATGATTAAGACCACCTTTTTGCATTTTGACGACACTTGCATTTTGCCAATAATCCTTAAGGCTATTTTTATTTCTTAAAGATTATAGTCATGTGAGCTAAAAAATATTTTAAGTGCTTATTTTTCTTTAATCAATTAGAGCTCTTTTTGTAGACATTACGCATAACACATATATAGCAACACAGAATTCAGAACTAGTATGATTTTTCATTTGCCAGTTTCTTATTGGGATTATTGGCTTCAGGGCGGAGCCCTTGGAGGAACAGGGCCAGGAAGGCATGCATTTCTAGGGCATAAAAAACAGGCACAGCTGAAGGCAAAGACAGACCCCCCAAAAATATTGGTGCCGTTTTATAATGGATTTTGGATCCCCAAAAGGAGGGAGAGCCTATGGGAGAAGAGAGTATGGTAATTTTACCATGCATTTCATTGCAAGGCAACCCAAATCCATTCAGCTTATTTTGTAATCAGCCCAACCCCCACATGATTCTTATCTCTTGGGGGAGTGGGGAAGTTTGTATGTTTCAGGTGACCAAGAGTATGCTTCTCTGATTCAAAAGTGCAAAGAGTTAACTATCCTTCCGTAACTACGATTAGACATCCCTTAAAGTATGTTTTCTCTCTAGTTATTCCCCACACTAAAGCTCTATCATGATGCGAGGTAATTTGGTACCTCTAAAACTCAAAACTGTCAGATAACACAATGAAAAACAGCAAAGCCTTTGGTTTTGAGAGGGAATTATCTGCTTTTAATTCCTGGGGTTTTGTGAGAAAAACAGGTTTTTTCTCAAAAGAGAGTTTGTGGTGTCACCTCTGTTTTTTTCCCAAGGAGTTCCAGGCTACCAGAAGTTGTCTTAGGGCCTCTCATGTGTACATTAAGAGTGGCAAGACAAAAAATGGAGAAAAATGATTCAGTTGACTGAGAAGAAAAGGCTTTTTCTAGGAAAGCAAGATTCAAGAAGAGACAAACATAAAGGCCTTTTAAAAAAAATCTAGAACTTGGATATCTGCTTTGAATTAAGCTGAGCACTCTTTAAGAAAATTATTTTAAATCTCTTGTTACTCAACTTTAGCCACGCTAAGCAGTTAAGATTTTCAGCTTTTGAACTTTATAAAAAGTAACCTCACAGGTGAAACCAACAAGCCTGAGTTAGTTTGTGACTTAACCATGAGTGTACAAGGTATTTTCAAAGTGGTGGTAAGCAGCTTTTGAAACTGTCATTGCAAAATTGTGACTGAGACAGTAAAGGAGATCTGACCCAAACAACTCCATTTTGTTTCCAGCCCCTAAGCTATCCTTGCCCATCCCTGAGTGTAGGCTGAACCAACTTTGGGAGGAGCCTGGTTTACAGTTTATAGTCCAAAACAAAGATAATAGCCCCTTCTGAAGATATACTTCCCTCTTGTCTGGGGACCAGACCAAGAAACTAGCCACAAGATCAGGAACCATGGCTCAGGAGTCACGCAGCTGAAGGCTACAAAATTTTGACCCTCCCTTAACTGCTCTCAAGATCAGAGCTTAAGGTATTTTGTAAACACTGTCATTGATAGATCAGCTGGTACCACCTAGATCAACAAACTAACTTATCTGATTTTCTGGCCCTCACCCAGGAACTGACTTAGCACAGGAAGATACCCACCACTGTAAAATGGTGGAGACTAAAAGTATTGCCACGTGGTTACAGGTATTGCTCCCAAAGACATGAAACAATATGGAAGCCTGTAGCCAAGTTTGTTATAGACTGTTTTGTTGGGCTGGCATGAACAGGAGGCTTATGGGATCCTGGGTCTGCATCCTAGCCTAACATATGTTTTCTTTTGACAGAAAGACACACAAAGCACACCAGATTTGCTACAGCTTAAGACTAACCTCACAAATCCCTTTTCATTAATTTAAACTTTACAGATAATATAAACAATGATCCTTGTTACCTCTTTTACCAGTTTGCATGGGAAGAGAGAGGCCAAAAGCCTGAATGGTAAGAAATTTCTACCCTTTTGCTGGCATGTCAGGCTTCTGGGTTCCCTTCCCCCTAGCTCAACTAGAGAAGCATTTTAAGGTTTGGAAAATTAACATTTCCCAGGTTGGAAGAACATTATAAAAAAAGATAGCCATTTTATACCGTAAAAGAAGGAACCACACCATACAAAAGTCTGGGATATCAGAGTTGTCAAAGAGGTACTGCTTCCTTTCCTATCAACAGTGGTGTTTCCCCTATTTCTTCACCTTCCCGATTTTCTCTTTTCCCTTTTTGCCTGTTATAGGAGACATATTGCTCATCTCCAAAATTCTCTGCTGCCTGCAGAATTGCCTGTTTTTCACCTACAGTTGGGGTTAAGCTTTGGAGCAGCATAACATCCCTCCATGAGAAGTCAAATATCTGAGTTAAATTTTAGAAAGCTTCTATATACCTATCAGGGTCATTAGAAAATTGGCCTAAGTCTCCCTTTACTTGCCTAAGGTCCTGCAATGAGAATGGAAGTTGAACCCTCGTGGCATCACCTCCATTGGACATTTTCTGCAGGGTTAAGAGCTAAGGTGGCGGAATGGGAAATTTTGGAGATGGTGGAGATGGAGGAGCTGGTGGTGTGGTTGGAGCTGGCCCCAGATAATGGGGAATGAAAGGGCCAGGATGCTCAATGGCTGCCTCAAATGGTTCCCCCAGGAGTTGCTTTTCTAATTTTGGGGAATTCTCTCTGTGCCTGTCTGATATGATTGCTAAAAGAGCCGGGCTGATTTTGCAATGCTTGCAAAGGTCTAGCAAAAAGGCAATGCCCTTATGTAGAAGAAAACAAGCCACTTTTTCTTTAAAATCTCAGGGTGAAAGGAGTTCCAGTGCTTCAGAATGCACCCCAGGGGAGTGCATGCTGAAGATGATACCCATCTAGAAAGAGAAGTGAGAAAAAGGCATCTGTTTAGTCTCCTTCCTTTTGGTGTGACCCAGAGTGGAAAGGAAGACAGTGGAGGCGTTCCCCCTGCTGTTTTTTGTGTTTTGTTTTTTTTTTGTTTTTTTCCTAAATGGTTCCTGGGTCCTGGCATCACCAACCGTGGCTGCAGGCATGACCCTCAGCCATAGAACCAGAGGAACTAAGCCATTGGGGTTAGTAATGCTCACCCAAGTGGCTCTAGTCCTCTGCTTGTGATTTTGCTTTGACTTCCTGGACTTGTGTAACCTGCCTGACTCCTCAAAAAATGTATCTCAGGAGAGATTATGTGACAGTTGCATTTAAGCATCTGTTGCACTTTCCTCCTTGATGGAGGAAGTGTGCTGATTTGAGCTCTATATCCTGCTAGTATGGTTCGTGTTAAAGCATCTACCCTTAGAGAATGGTTCCAGTTAACTTCCAAACTTAAAATACCCTTACTAATTAAGTACTATTCTAAATGGAAGCAGAATACGTGCCTTAAAAGAAAGTAGGTATCAAATGGCCATTTTCCTGCTGATGGGATAGTATTGACACTAAAATCTGGCTTTGGAGGATATTTTGCTCTTAATTGTTGAAGGTAGAGTTTTCCCATTTGCAGAAGCAACATAAAGCCTGGTCTCTAGAAGAGGGGTGCAATAAGGGCAAAGAATTGGGAAGCCAGGGTGTTTTGATAAAGGACTGACAATGTGCCTCATGGAGAGAGTACCTATTCCACTAGTTGGTGCTGTTGACCTTGAAATGCCATGAACTCTCCAGACCAAGGGCAGAGAGTGATGCTCACTGTGGGGGGTGCGAGGGTGGGGGCCTCTGTTCCTAGAAAATCCCAAAGATGCCTACCTTTGAGCTATATCCACAGTTACTACAACATTCCCAGATCTTTCCAAACAAGATTATTTCCCTGAATTGTAAAACTTCCTACACATTGCATACATAGAGAGATTAAGAGATGTGATGGTCATGGACGAGAAAGGAGGAAATTATGATAGGAAAGTTGGAGATCCTGTTGCCAACACCCCACCAGGGTGGTCAGAGGCCGAGGTCAGTCCATAAGCCTTTGGGTAACACTCAGGGGTAGCCCCAGCCAGAAGTTCTCAGTTGCCCCAGGACTTCTTCCAGCCCCATACAATGGCTACGTCTTCCATGAAAGGAGGCTGGTTCAAACATGGCCCATATGCCATATGCCCAGAAACCCATAGGTATTGGGGGATTCTCCATGTTCTCTCCAGTAGGTGTGACATCCGAGTCTTTAAGAATGGCAGGCATGCTAATGGTATTTTTAAATGGCTGGCAGATGCCTGTTATTGATTTAATTTGATTTTAAAATGGAGGCTGAGGCAACCATTCCAGTTGATTCTATTCCATTCTATTCCATTCCATTCCATTCCATTCCATTCCATTCCAGTTGATTCAATTCCATTCTATTCCATTCTATTCCATTCCATTCCATTCCATTCGGGTTGATTCAATTCCAATTAAAGGACAGATTTTGAGGTTTTTCTCCATATTTACCACTCACATGATTCTACCTTCTGATCCCTTTCTTTTAGAAAGAAGTCAGGACACAGACACATGTGGGTGGGTTAGGGAGTGGAAAGTTTAATAGAAGAAAGGAGAGAGGAGCTCTTGTGTGTGAGAGACCTCTGATAAAGAGGTGTGGTGGCAGACTGCAGCAGATTTTATAGGCAGGTTGGAGAAGGTGGTGTCTGATTTATGTAGGACCCACAGATTGGTTTGATCACATATGATGTTTACATAGCCCATGGGGAAGGATTGTCACCCCACCCTAATCTTATGCAAATGGACTTTCCGGTTGATTGGCACCATCTTGTCTGTTCTTTATTGTACAAGTGGCTGACAAAGAGAAGGGAAGATGGAGCCACCACCTTGAACATGTCTAGTCCTAGTTCCTGCTGGCATTCACTTCTGCAAGCTCCCAGCTTGCTTGTCTTTGAGGCTCAACTTTACAGGCTATTTATTAGAAAATGATTTGAAGCTGCTTTTTATTAAAGAGAAAAGCCTTACTGAAGACTCCCATACCCTTACCATCTGCTTAAGTTATTTCTTAACTCCTTTATCAGTAGTATTTGTTTTTTGGCTGTTGAGTTGTTTCAGTTCTTTGTATATTCTAGATATGAATCCCTAGTCAGATGAATATTTTACAAATATTTTCTCTCATTCTGCATGTTGTGTCTTCACTCTGTTGATTGCTTCCTTTGGTGTGCAGAAGCTTTTTAGCTTAATGTAGTCTCATGTATCTATTTTGGTTTTGTTGCCTGTATTATAAAGTCTTGGCCATAAAATCTTTGCCTAGACCAATTTCCTGAAGCATTTCTCATATTTTCTTCCAGTAGTTCTATGTTTTTGAGTCTTATGTTTAACTCTTTAACCATTTTGAGTTGATTTTTGTATGTGGCAAGAGATACGGGTGTAGTTTCATTCTTCTGCCTGTGAGCACTTAGTTTTCCCTGCATCATTATTGAAGAGGGTATTCTTTCTCCAAGGTATTCTCTTTGTGCCTTTTTTAAAAAATCAGTTGGCTGTAAATAGGAGGATTAATTTCTCGGTTTTCTATTAATCTATATTTCTGGGTTTTATATTGTGCCATTGGTCTATGTGTTTTATTCTAATACCATACTGTTTTGGTTATTATAGCTTTGTAGTATATGTTAGGTAGTATGATGCTTCTAGCTTTTTCCATTTTGCTCAGTATTGCTTTGGCTATTCAGAATCTTTTGTGTTTCCACATAAATTTTAGTTTTTTTTTATATTTCTCTTGAGAACGTCGTTGGTATTTTGATGGGGATTGCATTATGTCTCTTGAATCTGTAGTACTATGGTGGCATTGGGAAGGATGGCTATTTTAAAATATTGATTCCTTCAATCTTTGAGCATGTGATGTGTTTACGTTTGCTTGTGTCTTCAATTTCTTTCATCATTTTTTTTGTAGTTGTAGAAGTCTTTTGCATCCTTGGTTAAATTTATTACTAGGTGGTGTTTTGGTAGCTATTATAAATGAGATCACGTCCTTCATTTTTAAAATCTAGTTTGTTATTGGTATATAGGAGTGCTGCTTTTTGTATGTTGTTTTTGTATATTACAAGTTTACTGAATTTATCAGTTCTGAGTTTTTTGGTGGAGTCTTTAGGTTTTTCTATACATAAGATAATGTTGTCTGCAAAGAGGGATGATTGTTCTTTCTTTTTCCAATTTGGATGCCTTTTATTTCTTTCTTGCTTGATTGCTGTGCTAGCACTTCCAGTACTATGCTGAATAAATGTGGTGAAAGTGGGCATCCTTGTCTTTTAGTTGTTAAAGGAAAGGCTTTCAACTTTTTTTCCATTAAGTACGATGTTAGCTGTGTTGTGGGTTTGTCATATATATGGTCTTTCTTTATTATTTTGAAATACCTTCTTTTTATTGTTGAGAGTTTTTGTCATGAAGAGGTATTGAATTTTATCTTTTTGATGCCTGTTGAGAAGATCATATGATTTTTGTCCCTCTTCTATTGATGTGGTGTATCTCATGTATTGATTTATGTACATGGAACCATCCTTGCATCCCTGAGACAAATCCCCCTTAATCATGATGTATTATCTTTTCAATGTGTTGTTGGATTAAGTTTGCTAATATTTTGTTAAGGTTTTTTGCATCTGTATTGATCAGAAAAAATGGCCTGTAGGTTTTTGTGTTTTTTTAAAATCTTTGTCTGGTGTTGGTATCAGGGTAATTCTGGCCTTGTAGAATGAGTTAGGAATAACTGTCTCCTCTTTAATCTTTGTAATAGTTTGAGAATAATCTGTGTTAGTTCTTCATACATTTGATAAAATGCAGAATTAAAGCCATTCAGTCCTGAACTTTTCTTTATTGGGACGCACCTGATTTCTGATTCAATTTTATTATTCATTATTAATTTGTTAGGTTTTCTATTTCTGTCTAGATCAGTCTTAGTAGGTTGTATGCGTTTAGGAATGTTTCCTCTAGATTTTCTAATTTGTTTGCATAGAGTTATTAATAGTCTCTAATGATCCTTTCTATTTCTGTTGTATCAGTTGTAATTCCTTCTTTTTCATTTCTAACTTATGTGGGTCTTCTCTTTTTCTTGGTTAATCTAGCTAGCAGTTTAAAAATTTTACCTTCTCAGAAAAACAAGTTTTTGTTTTATTGGTTCTTGGCAATGTTTTTCATTTAGTCTGTTTTTAGTTCTCTAATTTTTGTTATTTCATTTCTTCTGCTAATTTTGTTCTGTTTTCTTATTTTTTCTAGTTCCTTAAGGTGCATTGATAGGTTGTGTATTTGAAATCTGTCCACTTTTATGATGTCATTTATTGCTATAAACTTCCTTCTAGCACTGCTTTTGCTACATTCCATTGGTTTTGGCATACTGTTTTTCGTTCTTATTTTTTCCAAGACATTTTATTTCCTTAATTTCTTCATTGATGCAATAGTTGCTCAGGACCATGTTATTTAATTTCCATGTAGTTGTACAGTTTTCAATATTCTTTCTATTAAATATTGTTCAATAATGTTATTGAATCAATATAGAATAAAACTTGTCTTATTCTATTGCTATATCCTCCTGCTAATATGATTTATTTTTCAATATATGACCTTGTCTCTTCAGTTTTTCATTTAAATTGTTTTCTATAGGTACAGTTACTTTTTTTTTTCTGCTTTTGGTTTCCATTTACATGGAATATCTTTTTTTATCCCTTCACTTTAAATCTATATCGGTCTTTATAGGTGGAGTTAGTTTCTTATCGGTGGCATATAGCTGAGTCATTGTTTTAAATGCATTCATCTAGTCTACATCTCTTAATTGGGGAATTCTGCTTACATTCAAGCTTATTAATAAGTGAGGACTTACTCTTGTCATTTTGTTAGTTTTCTGGGTGTTTTATATACCATTTGTTATTTTCTTATGGTTTATCATCATGGTTTGGTGATTTTCAGAATGGTAACACTTGATTCCTTTCTCTTTCTCATTTGTGTATCTAGTCTACCAGTGAGTTTTATACTTTCATGTATTTCCATGATGGTAGATATTATCCTTTCACTTCTGGATGTAGGACTATTTTAAACATTTTTTGTAGGAACCAGTCTATTGGTGACAAATTGCTTCAGCTTTTGCTTGTCTGGGAAAGACTTTATTTTTCCTTCATTTTTGAAAGATACCTTTGCTGGGTCTAGTATTTTTGGCTAAAAGGTACTTGTTTTATAAAGCATTTTGAATATGTCATTCCATTTTCTCCTGACCTGCATGATTTCTGCTGAGAAGTCCACTGTTAGTCTGATGGAGGTTCCCTTTTATGTGACTTGATGCTTTTTCTCTTGCTGTTTTTAGAATTCTGTCATTGTCTCTGACAGTTTGACAATAATGTGGCTTGGAGAAGACATTTTTGAATTGAACCTATTTGGGGATCTTTGAGCTTCATCTATCTAGATGTCTATATGTTTTTCAAGACTTGGGAAGTTTTTAGCTATTTTTATTAAATAGGTTTTCTATGCCTTTGCCCATCTCTTCTCCTTTGGGAAATTCCAGAATTCATTTAAAATTTTGGTCATTTTATGGCATCCTACTGGTCACATAGGCTTTCTTCATTCATTCCTTTTTTTTTTCTTCTGCCTGCATTATTAGAAAAATTATTTTGCTTAGCCTATTGACACTTGTATTTTTTTATTTCTTTGATTTCTTCAGTTCTAGGACTTTTGGTGCTCTTAACATATCTGTTTCTTTTTTGAATTTCTCATCTAGAGCATAAATTGTTTCTCTGATTTATTTGTATTGTTGGTGTTTTCTTATATTTCACTGAATTTCTCATCATAAAATTTCTAATAAGGAATTCAAGATAAAGTTCCTGTTTTGGGGATCTGTTATTGAAGAATTATTTTGTTCTTTTGGAGGCATCATGTTTCCTTTTTTTGTTTCTTGTGTCCTTATGTTAATATCTGCACATCTGGTGTAATAGCTGCTTCTTCCAATTTTATGGATAGGCCTTTGTAAGGAAAGATATTTTCCTACAGATGTATTATAGTATTGGTTAAGTAAGTTGCTTTGGCTTTGATTTTGGATGGGTATAGCAGTGTAGTCTTTGTATGACTTCAGTTATATTCAGTGTCAGCGATATCTGGAAGTACCTAAGTGGCTTAGACTGCAATTGTTAATGGAGGTTGTGGTAAGACTTTGATGGGGGTGGGAACATCAGCTGGGTTAGTTCTTGTGCACCAGTTTGGCAGCAGTACAAATGTTGGGTCTGACCTCAGGCCTCTGGATGGTGTGTGCAGGCACCAGCAGTGGTAGGTAGGTTGAACTTATACTCTGCCCTGTACAATTTGTATGGGTGCTGGCAGCAGTGGTGATGGGTGGGATGGAACCCCCAGTGGTATATGTAGCTGCTGGCTGTGATGGATGGGGCCAGGTCCCCGGACAGTACATTCACATGCAGGTGGCAGTGGCAATGGGAAAGGCTGGCTGGTTCTCAAGCCGCATAAAACACATGTGGGCAATAGCAGTTGCAGTGGTGTGTGAGGCAGGCCTGTTCTCAGGCACCACTGGTGGTGGTGGGTGCACTGGACCTGTTAGACCTCCATATGGTGCCTTTGGAGGGCAGGGAAGATTAATCCCCAGATGCCAGGTTGCTTGCACGAAGGTTGCTTGCACGAAGGTTGCTTGCACAAAGGCTACACATAGCAGCTTCTTCCTCTGGTACCTAATGAGATGTTGCATAGGGCAACCATCAGTATCAGATAGGGTCTGTCAATACCCAGGCCTCGAACAATGTGTATGGCAAGGCAAGCTTTGCAATACATAATTTTTAAGTGACTTAATATCAGGCTATATCTTAAGATTTATATGTCTTTAATAGAGTAGAGAAAACAAAAATTTGGAAAACATTTCCTTACTGAGTGGTAGAAGTAGCAGACTAGTCTTTGGCTGATCCAGAGAGACTGCAGAGGAAGTTTCTTTTCTTTTTAAAAATGTTTTAAAGACAGAGTCTCACTTTGTTGCTCAGGCTGCCCTCTGACTCCTGACTTCAGGTGATCCTCTTGCTTCAGCCTCCCAAAATGCTGGGATTACAGGCATGAGCCACTGCACCTGGCCCCCTGCAGAGGAACTTTCTAATACAATTAGAGGTGTTTTTCTTTGTTAAAAAATAAAAATCCAAATACTTTCTGAGTTGAAAGGAAGCTACTCTAATTGGCCAAAGATTATTTATAACTGTGTCTGTGAGGCTAGTTAGGCTAGGAAAAAAACCTGAAAAGGGTGAGTAGGAAAAACAATAAGGCAAAGGAGAATGCAGTGAGGTGGAAAAGCTGTATTTAGAGCCCCAAACCATTCGTATGAAGTTTTGTATCTTTTTTTTTTTTAAGGTGGAGTTTTACTCTTGTTGCCCAGGCTGGAGTTCAATGGTGGGATCTTGTCTCCCTGCAACCTCCCCCTCCCAGGTTCCAGTAATTCTCCTGCCTCAGCCTCCCGAGTAGTTGGGAGGTGCCTGCCACCACGCCCAGCTAATTCTTTATATTTTTAGTAGAGATGAGGTTTCACTATGTTGGCCAGGCTGGTCTCGAACTCCTGACCTTAGGCAATCTACCCACCTCAGCCTCCCAAAATGCTGGGATTACAGGCGTGAGCCACCGTGGCCAGCCTTATGTGTGTTTTATTAATGTTTGAAATAAAACAGGAACTATTACAAACTCACATGAAATGTTCTTGTGATGCTTAATACATATAGACATATTTCTAAAGATTTTCTTCTGAAATTAGAAGCCATCTAATCCGTGGCTACTTGAGACTTCCATTAATTTATACACATTCAGCGGAGCTAACATTCTTATGATCCATGAAGTTGTTTATGTTGTCCTGCATTGAACTGCTTCAGATTGCTATAGTTTGAAGTTTGGGAATTTGGGGAGTAATATACTCCTCATTTTATAAAAAGGAAATAAACTTCATCAAAGGTAAGAGAATTTTTGTTTTGTGGCATGATATATTATTGCTCATGGGTATACATGTAACAAGGAAGCATGAAAATGAGAAGGTGAAAAAAAGGGAAGATCTGTGACTTGCTTAATATTGCACACCTACAATTGGGCAAAATCAAAATTGAAAACCAGGTCAGTCTCATATCAAGTCACATGTTCATAATCATGATAGGCTCTATCCAGTAATTTCAGCAATTGTACCCAAATACCTAAAGTTAATTCCACTTTCCAAATACTTGTATGGAGCCCATCTGGCACCCATGAATCAGTATTTTAGAAGTTCTCTCAAATGGCTCGGTGTCCAAGTGCTAGGTTGGTTACTACAAAAAGCCCAGCATAATTGATTTCTGAACAATTGCCAGGAAATAAACACCAATCTATTAATGCAGCTTGATTTCTGATACTTTGTTTTATCTGTTAATAACTAGCAATATAATAATAATGCCTATTATAATTGAATCACTTACAGGATTAATGTCAAGTTTGGCTAGTTTGTTGTTGGGTGTGGATATTTTAAGCTCTAATTGTTCTTCAGTTACATCATTTTTTCCACTTGACGGGGAACTCTGTAAGGGCAGAGATGGTAGTTCTTCACTTTGAATCACTAATGGCTATCAAAATTTTAAGACGTAGTAGTTGTCAACAAACATTTGCTGAACTAGTTTAAATAATTTTTCTAAATTATACTTTTATTATGATAAATAGTGATAGTATTCACTTTCTTGTGGTGTTCAGTGAATTAATGAAATTAGTTACTGCAGAGTTCCTAGTGAGAAAAGGCATCCATGGGTCCTACTCAATAAGTACCTTCAGCAAAATCTGTTCTGAAAGTCAAAGTGTTCCCCAGCTAATACTGTGATGAAAATGCCTGCAGAATCAAATGCAATATGACATTCAATGTTTTAAATGAGTCATTAAACAAAGAATATTCCAATATTGTGAATCTTCTGTGAAGTTTTTACAGACTGATGGAATAGAAAAGATAGTATTCTATTTTTACAACAAGAAATACTGGGAGATGCACTACAAAATGACATTTCCAGTGAGATTTGAGCAGCATCTTATCTTTCAATGTGTTCTTTATTCATTGATTCAGGGTATCATTCCTGGGGTATATAGGTGAATATGACGATGATAATATGTCTGGCAGTACATAGATTGCTATCCTTCTCAGTTGAAAATGGTGTTGACGGTGAGGTTAGATGCAGATAAAAAATAATCTTTGTGTGATAGCATTTTCAACACCAAACAGATGTTGCATACTTATGAATCAGTGACTTCTCATAAGTAGCAAAATGTACATTGTGTTAACGTATCACCTTGTTTTCATAAGTACAATTGGTTCCTGAGAGGCTGCAGAGTATAGTAGAGTAAAAGCAAGAGAAGTTTTCTTTTTTCTCCCTGATGTATCAGTTATTGTTGCACAGCAAACTACCTTAGACGCTGTGGCTTAAAACATCTATTTATTTTATTCATAATTCACTGGGTAATTCTACTGGTCTGGGCCAGCTGGACTGGTATAATTATGCACCTACTATAAGCTGGCGTATTGGCAGGGTGCATCATTGACAATAGCCTTGTTAGAGAGATAGGAGCCTTTCTTCAGGTAGTCTCATCCTCTGGCAGGCTAGCTTGGAATTGTTTGCATTGAAATCCCATGGAGATTGCAGGGTTCCAAGAGTGAGAGTCTCAGTGTGCAAGGTCTGTCTCTTGAGTCCTGGGCTGGAACTTTCAATGTGGCTTCTGCTACATTCTACTGGTCAAAACCCATCTCAAATTCAGCTGAGGCTTAAGAATTATAGAAGTACACTCTTCCCTATGATGAGAGTGGAAGAGGTTACTACCATTTTTAGAATTTGCCACAGCTTCTATTGTAATTCTCAAACCACCCTCTTCAAGAAGTCATGTCTTTTAGTGATAACCATAACCACAACTACAACAGTAACAACAGCTCACACGTATGGAGGACTTAATTGTAACAAAGCCTATTCTAATGTTTTATATGGATTAACTCAATTTTCACAATAACAATGAAGGATGAGTATTAGTTTTTCTTTATGGGTGAAAAAAAAATTGCCTCACAAAGGGGTTAATCATTTTACAAAACATTAAAAATTTCCAAAAGAAGATTGCCTTAGTCAAATAAATGCAGAAAATGCAAGACAAAATAATAATTAAAAGTCTATCTATGTTTCTATCCATACAACCATTTATCCTCTTGGACTTCTCAAAGTTTTGAATGCAGTAAAGTATATTTTGAATCTTACAGAAGGGAAAGAAGGTTATAAGCCACGTTCAAATTTGGAATCTAGGAACCCCTTCATTTTGCAGAGTATCTGTTAACATCTTACATGACAGTGGTATTCTATGGAACTGTTTGTAAAATGCTGTAATTAGGCTTTAAACTAGATTCCAAATTGCCCTGATTTGTAGCACATGTATCTCTGTCACTGAGACTATAAAGAATATAAAACATGCAATATGCCTGCTTTTTTTCTCTATGTGCTTGTCTGTTCAAAAAATCAGTGACCCTTTAGACATGCAGAAGTTAAGCCAGATGTGTCTATGAATCACCTCAAGGGTTTTAAGCCAAGTTATTTTGCATTGCATTATTCTATTCTTTTTTTTTTTTTAACCATTCCCTTCTTTTTTTTATCAACATCCCTCTGAGCAGTAACACAGTATTACTGCTCTAAGGGATGACAGTTGGCAAATAGTACTATAGCATGGCAATAAGATACAGAATGAAAATTATACCTGTGTCAAATTGCTTCTGAATCATTTACTTCAAGATAGTCAAATTAGGAAGACCACCCCTGAGCCATACAGATGAGGCAGTAGGTTGGAGAAAGTTATCTCTAGCTCTTTAGGTTTTAGTATCTACCGTTTAATATTGCTATTGCCAGAGTAGCAATCTGGAGGAGAGTTTTGGAATCAAGATTAGGCTACAGAAGGAATTTAAGGTGTGTGTTTTTGTATATATACATATACATGTATATATATAACTGTACGTAATTGACCCTTGAACAAAACAGGGTTAGCCATGCCAACCCCCACACAATCAAAAACCCATATATAACTTTTTACTCCCAGCAATTTTTTTTTTTTGAGACAAGGTCTCACTCTCTTGTCCAGGCTGCAGGGCAGTGGCATGAACAGGGCCGACTGACTGCAGCCTCAGTCTCCTGAGCTCAAGTGGTCCTCCTGTTTCAGCTTTCTGAGTAATCGGAACCACAGGTACACATCACCACGCCAAGCCTTTTTTTTTTTTTTTTTTTTTTTTTTTTTTTTTTTTTTTTAATGGAGACACAGGGTCTCACTGTGTTGTCTGGACTGGTCTTGAACTCCTGGGCTGAAGTCATCCTCTAGCCTCAGCCTCCCAAAGTGTAAGGATTACAGACAGGCGCTACTGTAGCCCAGCCCTGAAAATCTTAACTACTGATAGCCTATTGTTGACCAGAAACCTTGCTAATAACTAGCATAAACAGTTGATTAACACATACTTTGCATATTTGTTATATATTGCATTCTTGCAACAGTGTAAGCCAGAGTAAAGAAAATGTTATAAAGAAAACCATAAGGAAGAGAAAATATATTTATTAAAGTACTGATTAATACTGTAGGTTTATATCATGTGTTGACAAGATGAATAATCTGTCTGAAGTGGTGGGCAATGCAGCTGCAGAGGTCAATCTACAGTACATATCAAACAATTCGGCCTTTTCTTGTAATGTCATGACTTGTCTCTGCCTCTTGGGAACACTTTGAACATCACTAGTGGCACTTCGTATGGGTCCCATGGTGTTATTCAAGGTTTACAATATTGCACTAAACACTATGAAAAATATACAAGAACTGCAAGAGATCACTTTTTCCATGATAAACAATTTATTGAAGAGATGAACTGCTCTGTGGAGATGATGAGCATCACACGGCATTTTAAGTGGATACTCACAACACTTGAACTCACTGCAGTAACAATGGGAGGTGGCTATGAAATTATCACAGTAGTACAATGTGTACTACAGTTAATTTTATGCATTTATTAGTTAATGCTGCATTCTGTTTACATTTCTCTCTACTGTGAACGGTGCCATGTACTGTCTGTGCACATTTTAACTGTTTTATACTAGATTTGTGTATATTGTAGTAAATGATAAAATAGACTAGTACCTATATATTATATACATTTAGAGTATAACTTAGTTTTACTTTATATTTAGGCTACACGGTTTGTCTGCAAGGTTTTCAAATTATTGCAAATCTCCAAAAAAAGTTTCCAAAATGTCTATTGAAAAAAATCTCTACATATAAGTGGAGCCTCACAATTCACACCTAGGTTGCTCAAGAGTCAGTTCTTTATATAATTTGCCTTAGAGAAACAACACATTCATTCAATCCACACACTCATGGACCTCTCCAGGAGTTTGTAAAAGAATAGGTAATGACCTAATATTAACTAAGTAAATGCCAGCATTTTATTTAATCATCAAAACAACACGATGAAATAGATATTTTTAATCCTCATTTTTACATATGTGATGACGTTTTGCTGGGGATGCAGCACCAGATGGGCCAGTCCTTGGGCACCAGCATGGTGGTGGTGGTGCGAAGGCTGCACCTGGACTCGGGCGTCTGGGTGATGTGTGTGGGTGCCAGTGGTGGCATGTAGGGTAGATTGATAACCTGGCCCCTGTACAATGTGTGTGGGCCACCTTGAAGAGGAAGAATCACAATTTTTACCTCCAATATTTTTTAAATGGCACCACTAAAACCAAAACAAATCATTAAATGTATTTATATCTTACCATGTGTCACATTCTGTTAAACACTTTACATTCTTCATCTTATTTAGTGTATACAACTTTAGTTCTCATGATTTCTTTTTAACGAAGGAAGAAACTGGGGCTTAGAGAGTACATAAATTGGTCAATATCATACCATTTGTAAATAACAGAAAAGGTCCATGATTTAAAGCCAGGCCACTCATGACCAAAATCTGTTGTTCTTCATTAAATAAAACTTCAACTTATGAAATAGTTTCATCTACATTGTATCGTTGAATCCTTAAAACAGCTCAGCTGGGTCAGAAGTATCATCGGTTTATAGACAAAAAAAGATAAGAATCAAAAAAGTTTGGTAATTTCCCCCAAGGTCATAAAGCTACAGGTTTTTTGTTGTTGTTAGTTTGTTTTGTTTTTGAGACGGAGTCTTGCTCTGTCACCAGGCTGAAGTGCAGTGGTGCGATCTCCGCTTACTGCAACCTCCAACTCCCTGGTTCAAGCGATTCTCCTGCTTGAACAGGAGAATTCTCTCAGCCTCCTGAGTTGCTGGGATTACAGGCATGTGCCACCAAGCCCAGCTAATTTTTGTATTTTTAGTAGAGACGGGGTTTCACCATGTTGGCCAGGATGATGTCGATCTCCTGACCTCATGATCCACCCACCTTGGCCTCCCAAAGTGCTGGGATTACGGACATGACCTACTGCGCCTGGCCCTAAAATTTCGTTTTAAAAAAATATGCCTGGTGTTTCTTCTAGTTGTCCATATTTCTTTCTTATGACAACAGATAAAATACACAAACTTTATATTTTCATCAGGATAGATTTTTTTCAAGTCTAGCCTCTGCCACTAAATGTGTAATTTTAAACAAATTTCTTAATCTCTGTGAGCCTTTGCTTCTTCATCTCTCAATTAAGGGTAGCAATTCTAGCTGCCTCACAGAGCTATTGCAAAGTTTACATGAAAATGCATACAAATATGTCTAGACAAGTGCCCAGTGTGCAGGAGAGACTCAATGTATAATCTCTGGCTTTCCTTCTCTCTGTGCCTTTCAACGCAAATGGAATAGTTTCAGGATAAAGAATGGTCAGCTTACATAACCAAGTGAGGTGTATATTAACAGCTGGCACCAAAAGTCATCTTAGGAACTTTGTCAGAATATCTTCATAAGCCTTTGTGGAAGATGTGACTCTGACAGCAGAGATGTCAACAGGAGACCAAGCTATAAAAGGAGAAGGTTAGATGGTCTAGATAAAAAAAATTATATGAATTTTTGTTTTGCTCACAAAAAGGAAGGAAATAAGAGACGAATGGAGAAGGTAGGGAGGAGAGAGAAGAGCCAGAGAGGTAGGATGAGGTGAGGATATATGTGCTGGACAGCCAGGTAAAATTCTTCCACAGGTTATAGAAAGATATTTTAAAAATGGGACATACATTGTTAATTTAAAATTGTTTACATTACCTTGATTTAAAGTCTACCAAAGAAACTACTTTCAGTAAAGTCTACCACAAATGAATACTAGAAATGAATGTTTCATATTCTATATGGATTACCATGACTTAAACCAGAAATACATAACTGGAAGTAGAAGGGAATTCAAGAATGTAAGCCACCCTCGCATTCTCAGAAATCTGGGCAACTTGAGGATCTAAGACAATTTTCAAGGGATCTCAAGAGATAGGCAGTACCAGCTGACATGTGGATTTTGTGTTTAGTTGAAATATCCTCTTTTTATTTGAAAGTCCACTTAAATTCACTGTACCAAGAAATCATTTTAATTTCAGCATGATTTAGATACATTTGAAGGAGACAAACTGAAGATATTACCATGCTTGAGGTTTAAGGTGATGAAGGACTTTTAGGCATATTTGAAATATACCCCTTAACTGTTAACATTGACACCAGTGGTAAGAAATTTCCTCCATTAGATAATACCGGCTTGAATAAATCAGAAGCTTGCTGTGATGGATCATTTCTGTATCTTATTTGCAGTTAATAGATATTATTTCTTAGAGCAGTTTTTGGTTCACTATAAAACCAGGCAGAAAGTAAGAGACTTCCCATACACCCCAGTCCCCATACGTGTAAACCTCGCTCCCGTCAACATCCCATGCTCTAGTAGTGATATTTTTGTTAAAATAGATGAACTTACATTGATACATCATTATCACCCACATTCCATAGTTTACATTAGTGTTCACTGTTGGTGAGTCTTTGTTTTTACCTACAAACTTATTACATTGGTAGTGTTACCATCAAGCCAGTGCTCACCAAAATAGGGTCTTTACCTTTTTAGTGCCCTGAAGCTAATATGCAAAATTGAAAGTGAATGCATAGGCTTTATTTGATGGCCATGAAATTGAGAAGCAGAAGCTGGGATCACAAACTTCTCAGTCTGTAAGAGCCAGAACTTCACAGATAAAGGGCATCTTTAATGAAGTGGTTGGGCATTAAAAGAAAGGAGAGGAATATTTGTCTTTTCTGGGAATGGGTAGAGAACTTCTTGTAACCAATTGCCACCTTTCTTTCTGTCACTTTATGGCTTCTTCCGGTTGTCATGATTGTAAACTATCATGGCAGTGGTGGGAGTGTCATTTAGTATGAATATTAGATTATAATATGAAGTTAGAGGTTCTTCAGAAGTCAAGTGAGCCACCATCTTGGATCCTACCAGTCTTAGCCAGTTTGGTCATGAGGGGGAACTTTTGACCTCAGGCATCCTGTTTCCTAAAGATATGCAGAGTTGGTTAGGTGCAGTGGCTCACGCCTGTAATCCCAGCACTTGGGGAGGCTGAGACAGGTGGATCATGAGGTCAAGAAATCAAGACCACCCTGGCCAATATGGTGAAACCGTATCTCTACTAAACACAAAAATTAGTTAGCTGGGCTTGGTGGCGCGTGCCTGTAGTCCCAGCTACTCGGGAGGCTGAGGCAGGAGAATCGCTTGAGCGCGGGAGGTGGAGGTTGCAGTGAGCCGAGGTCGCGCCACTGCACTCCAGCCTGGTGACAGAGCGAGACTGTCTCAAAAAAATTCAGAGTTAAGGTGGAGTGGTACTTTACCTAGGTCACATAGGCATTATACTGGGTAATACTAGACGCACTGCGCCTCCTGCCTCTCTAGCACGGTGAGATGCCCCATCTGAGCATACATCTGTAGCTAGATTGCTGATGACTAAGTATAAAATACAACCATTTCCCAGACATGTGAACTGTATGGTTCACTGCAAAACTGATATGCTCCCTGTGATATTAATACACTCACTCATATTTCACACTTTGTCAAAGAGAAAGCTGCGTATATATAAATTCAAACATACATACTTGATTGTTTTAAAATAATGACAGCAATATTGAAAGCACAGCTATTAGTTTAGTAATGAATAGCAAAAAGAGGATGCTGGAGGCTTTAATGGAAGAAGAAACATTATTACAACTTTGTCCTCAGGATCTCGCTTTTCATTACATATCAGTCTGAAATAAATATCAGTCTAAAATAAATCAATTCCACCATATTCTTCTCTTTTTGCCTCTGGACAGGTTTTTACCAGATCCGTATATAATACTTCATATTTTTACCAACTCTACTGCAAACAGGTGTTTATCCTCTTTGCGAAATGCTGCTTTAACATAGGTGCAGATTTAAAGAGTTTAATGTGATTTTACGTTTTCTTATTATGAGGGAGGGATCATCCAATCATACACCTCATCTCTCAATCTCTCCTGGATACATATGGGAAATATTTCATTCACTGGTCGTTTGGTCCAGGGAACTGAAACTCATCCCCTTTCATGTGTTAATTCGGACTGATACCACATTAAATGGCTCAGGGGCCTTGGCTCTGGGGTTGCTGTGACCGCTAATGCTTTGTGTTGCTAAAACCCACACATCAAATGTGATGCCTTCATTTTGCAGTTATTCCCTAGCAAGTTTCCCTTTATGTATGAGATTTCACAAGCTTAGGTGCCTAATAAGAACTAGTAGAATCACGTGCACACATATACAAGTTAGGAGGAAGTGTTTAGGCACTATCTACCTGAATCTATTGCTATGTCTAAAAGGTCTTGTTCTGGATTTTTGAATCAGAATTATTAGTTTGATGTTGAGCCTTGTTCCTTCATGGTAGACTTTTGCCAAATGATGTGATTTGACATCTAAACCACTAGGAAGCATTTCATAGGTGACATACCAGTAGACAGCCTGTAATTCTGACTAAGTGACTCAATCAAGATTTGGCTTTTTTTTTTTTTCCTACAACCTCCCACCCACAAAAGTCTCAATATCATAGATTGAACTATAAATCTTGTCATGAAAAACAAAAGACAAAATAGAAAACAATTTTATAAATGTAAAATGGATCACTGTTAGAAAAGAAAAAATAAAAATTGGCATGGTCAGGAAAATACATAAATGGAAACTCCCTATTTTGGAAGGGATAATGATGGAGAACACTGTTCCAAAATACAATACATAAATCCAAGGGAGTGTCTCCTGCCACCTGCCAGTGGCAGGCAGAAGTTTCCCTGTTGTACGGACTCCTTGCTTTAATCATATTATGGAAATTCTTATGATTGATTCTGCTGGGTAAATAAGGGTGTCCTTAAGTTTAACCCCATTGTCTGTACTCACTTCTTCTTTTGATTGTCAGTTTTCTATATTCTTACTTTCCTCTCATGTTCTAAGCATTGGATGGTCTGGACCTATGAGATTTTAGAGCTTCTCAACGGACTTAATGACCAATTAAAGCTCTTTCTTAAACTGTAAATTTTTGGCATGGGGATCTTGACTAAAATGTTTCCACTTACTTTAACCCTAGGTTTATGTCTACAAAAGCGTATGCCTGGGTAATCCTGGTTTCTTGAGGATGCCATATGCCAAACAGTCAGTAATTGCATTTCTGTTGGTATTGTTGACCAATTCCCTCATATCTTACAGGTTTGGGTGCAGCAGGGATCCAGAAGGAACTGCCAAAAATGACAGCTAGGAATTTGAGGGCATCTTTAGAACATTTGAAGTTTGGCATTTTAGTACAAATATTGTTATTGTTGCTAGTTTTAAATTTTGCCAAGGACATACCCTAAAGTACAATTAAACAAGGAAAACTAGAGATACCATGTATTTTGTTACTGACAGGTCTTTGTTCTTAGAGCTCCCAAGATGGCGGCAGGCCACTCCCAAGATGGCAGCAAGCCTTTTATTCTCTGACCTGGGGTTCTTGGCCTCATGGATTCCAAGGAATGGAAACTTGGGCCATGTGGTGAGTGTTACAGCTCTATTAGAAGCCATGGGTCACAGAAGAGAACCGTGGAATCCAGTGACTAGTGTTCAGCTTGATTAGGATGAACCCGGGCACTTAGCTGCTCAGGAACAATGGCGAGCCTTTAGCCATATCGGGAGTGGCAATGGGCGACTTGCTGGATCAGGAGTGCAGCGAACACACTGCTGGATCTGGAGGGGTGGAAATCAGCAGTGGGTCTGTGATGGCGGCAAACAGCAGTGGGGGACGGTGAGTAGAAGCTCAACTTGTGCCCTAACAAACACAGACCAGAAGAGCGTGCAGTTGCAAGATTTCATAGAGTGAAAACACAGCTCCCATACAATGAGAGGGGACCCAAAGGGGGTTGCCACTCCCAACTCGAATGCCTGGGGTTTATATCTCAATCATTGTCCCTCCCCCTGTGCTCTCAGATGATAACTGATTTGACTATTTCTTTACCTCCTGCTTTTAGCCTAATTTGTATTTTAGTGAGCCCTCTACCTGATTGGTTGGGTGTGAGCTGAGTTTTACAAGTCCCGTGTTTAAAGGTGGGTGTGGTCACCTTCCCCAGCTAGGCTTGGGAATTCTTAGTTGGCCTAGGAAATCCAGCTAGTCCTGTCTCTCAATTTCATAAGAGAAAAATCCTTCTAACAACCAAAAAAAAAAATATATTCTCAAAAAGTTTATTGAAAGGAAACAAATTGGATATAGTTTACAAAAAGTCACCAAATTTTAATTTTCTTAAGACAACAGGAGCTAATGAAAGCATCACCAATGACCCACTTCTAAAGACAGGAGGAAGAGATGTATGGGATGCAGATAGAGACATCTAAGGCAGGGAGGGGATCCAAACCAGCACAGAGATAGGAAATTCTGCTCATAAATGGGTGGGGAGTGAGAACGATGCAAGCCAGGGACCCCTGGCTGGTGATGCCCTACCTGGGCCTTGCTCAGCCATGCTATTATGCCCCAGCTCACCTATGTTATAGCTTATACCAATCTGGCAGTTCCTGAGCTATTGTACCATGCCCAAGAACAATAAGGATGTGCTGTATATTGAACGGTGAGGAGGGCAAAGAAGAATTTTAGTGCATGATGAGACAGCTTTCAGTGGAGAGGGGGACATAGGGATGTTCCCCCTACCCAAAGGTGGGAAAGTCCCCCATGTGGCTGGGTCTGAGGTCTTTTATGGACTCAATGGGGAGTGCGCACTGATTGGTTGGTGAGTATGCAAAAATGGTCAAAGCAAAGATACCACTCAAAGGTGGGCATGACAGTGTAGAAAACCAATTAGGAAAGGGTAGGTATTTTTGAAACAGGTGAAGGGTAGGGATCAATCAGAGGAAAGCACACCAAATGGAAGACAAGTTCTCAATCTAGTCTGAGGATTTAACTTGTAACTTGGCTTTCAGGCTTCAAACTGTCTTCAGCTCGGAGGTAGGGTTTCACTGGGGGCCCACCCCAGTCTGCCTAGGTATTTGGCTGACTCCTGTACTCTTGAGAGGGATGGCAGATGGCACGTTGTTTCAGCATCTGAAATATAATGTGGATGGGCAACTGGAAAGACAAAACAGCAGCAGTGGCATGAACAGAGCTTAGCACAGAGGGGACAACACACAAATCGTTGATGAATTTTTAAAATGTGGGAAATTGAACAATTCAAGCTATAGTCTGCATTTCAAAAAAGATATGTTTGCTTAAAAAAACAAAAAACAACAAAATGACCCCTTCACCACAAAGGATCAGCCTATATCACACACAGGTACATGCAAACTGGCAAATTGTCATTATCGTCTTTCACAGGTTTTATGAATAAAAATGACCTATGAATATTTATATGATACCCTTTTTCTTATCACTTTTGGTGGTATTATGTAATGAAAATACCAGCTCAGGTGTTGTTATGGGCGACATTCATTAGTTTGTTGGGTTAACTATGAGGATGAGCTAATTACTTTTAAAATGTGCTTTCATCCAGTGATTCAACAGAAAATACCCATGCTCAATAGCATTCGCTTGGTTAAGAAATGAAATTGGGCAAATAACTTATATAAATTAATGTTGGAAAATTATATTGAAGAGGGACTCATAACTTACTAAAAATCACTAAAGAAAACTAATTTGGATTGAGTAAAATTTTCATACATTAAATTGAGTAACTGGTGAAAGTTTTATTTTTTTACATTACAAAAGAAGTAAACAATTTTAGTACTACAAACACAGTCATAATCTTATTAAACATAAAAAGAATTGATATTATAAATTATAAGAAGAGATCATGCTTTGTAGCTTTTCATTATTTTTATCGAAGATCTGAATAGACGGATTTTCTTTTTAAAAAATGTTTTTTGCTTCAAACTTAGCTCTAATTCTCTTATATAATTGACATCAATCACACTTTTAATTATCTTTATCGTATCAAATAAAGACATTTGGTAAATCTGAGGAAAGAATGAAATCCAGCCCAAACAAAATTTCGGTTTATTCTGTTATTTTTTGAAATCTCAACTATGTTTTGTATTTTGAAAAATAAGCAAAGCCAAATTTCTTTCAAAAGGCAACTTTTAAGAATTTGCTGTTTTTAATTTGGATTAGGATTGAGAGCCAGCATGGTCCATGAAAGTGGTTTGAGAAGAAAAATAATCTGGTTTTCATAAGTAGAAACCTTGTTGAGTTAGGAGAAAATCACTCAGTATTTTAGAAATTGATTGAAAATGATTGAATTTAGTTTGGAGCACTTTTTCTTTTCAATATGTAGGCTTACAAAATATAGCATTTATAATTCACCTCAGCTACCCTTTCTGATATTATTTTTGTTTTATATTTTATGTGTGTTTCAATTAAATTTTGTAAGATCTTTCTTAGAATGTTATTTTCCCTTTCCAATGATCAATGTCTATGCCTTGCTTCTAAAAATATATACTTATTTCTCTAAATTGAGGTTGACAAGTTAATTGTGATTTCAGGTAGGAGGGAAGACAAGTATCTTCAGTACAACCAACAATTCACTTTATTAATGTTTGTCTTCAAGGAGAGCACAAAGGATGCATCAGAAAGGCAGAAACACACATATTGTGCTCATCAAAGGTCTTAAAGGCCAGAGAAGAGAACTTGGCAGGAAAGTTATCATCCAAGTTCAATTATTTAATCTTAAAAAACATATGATTTAGTTAGATAGCCAAAACCTGGGTAGAACTCAGAATAGATACTATTTATTTTCAAAGCCTAAGGGCATGCATTTTCAGAAAACTCAGTGGCTTAAATAGTGCTTAAGAATTTACATTTAATTAAACTGGATGCAGGTAATGGGGGTCTGGGTTTCGGCTGTCTCACATTATGTACTTGCTGCTCATTGTGCCCAAAGGCAAAGCTCCATTTAAATTCAACAGATCTTAGCAACTACTGAACACTGTTGGGCTGAGAATTTGATAGTGTATCAGGCTGGGAACTTACGCCTCTGGGTAAAGATAGGCCAGAATTCTGTGAGTGTTAGCAATGATCACCAGCAATCAGGCAGAAACCCTAGTCTCCCAAAATTGTAGAGTGGGGAGGGTATTCAGTGAGCTGATCCACTTAGTATTTACAGAAAAAGAAACACATGGCTTCTGAAACTCCAATGAAGAGAACACATGGGCTTAAGATAGCTATGTTTTAAAGAAAATAAAATGATGTGAACTTTCCTTGGTTCTGAAATAAAGTTGAACTTAATGATCCCTAATGATCTTTCTCTATAAAATATCACAATTCCAGGAAAAATCTTCTTAAATTTTCTGATACAATTAGACACTGATCTCTAATCTTTGTGGTGGTTGTAGTTCACTAAATGCCACATGAATATGAATCCACATTTTTGTAAAGAATTTGCTAGAATTTGCAGATGTTATAGGTGAAAACATCAATTGGAGTACAAATGTATTAGGGTAAATAAAGGGCAAAAAGATGGTAGTTTTTAGGGAGGGGGAACAGTACAGAATGGCACATGAGATGACTCTTGACATTCTGTATGCAAAGTGGGTCTCATCTGGATTATCAACTGTCACAAACCAGGGATCATGGTGGATTCCACAGTATCACATGGTATGGATTAAGGATATACTTCACAGGGGACAGTGGAAACTTAAAAGTTATATGTCGGGAAGAAAAGACAATGTGTGATGGTTAATTGTGTGTGTCAGTTTGACTGGTACACAGTGTGCCCAGATATTTGGCCAGACATCATTCTTGGTATATCTGTGAGGTTGTTTTTGGTTGAGATTAACAGTTGAGTCAGTCAACTGAGTAAAGCAGATTGCCATCCCTAGTGTGGGTGGGCTTCATGTAATCAATTGAAAGCCTGAATAGAACAAAAAGGCTGAGTCAATGAAAACTCTGCCTGCCTAACTGCTTCAGCTGGATATTGGTCTTTTCTGGCCTTCAGACCAGACTGCAATGATGCTGCAACAATGACTCATCTTCTGTCTTGAGGCTGCTAGCTTTCAAATTGGAACTTTTACTATCATCTCTCCTGATATTCAGGCCTTCAGACTTGGACTGAAACTACACATAGGCTCTCCTGGGTCTCCAGCTTGCCCACTGCAGATCTTGGTACTTCATAACCATTACAATAGCATGAATGAATTCCTCATAAGAATAAATCCTATTGGATCTGTTTCTCTGGAGAACCCTGACTAATACACATAGGTGTACCCTGTTCTTTCATTCTCCTAGAGGTGAGCCACAGCTAAGATATCGTGGGTTTGTGTTGCAGTGCAGGGATCCTGCCTGCCATACCTCTCCTAGCCCTGTGAGTCAAGCACAAGGTCAACCTCATCAGTGAAGGAACAAACAAAATATTGGGAGCCAGCCAGTCTGGAGTGGGATAGGGCCTATACATAGAATTTTCTGAGATACCAGTAGCCTGACTCCTGGAGACCTTGTGACCCATGACAAGTTTCCATCTTGACTGCTGTGAGGAGGAAGACACAAGCAGCTGAGCTTAGGTGCAGTCTCTCCTCTGGGAGAAAGAGAACTCTGACACCTCCTCTTTCAGGCAACGCAAAGAGAGCACCAGGGTCTCTTCCATACAATCTTGATCCTTGTATCACAAACTGATGATCTATGAATAGCACCATGAAAAATGTAGTCTTGCATACAAGAAAAGGTTAAGATAGAAAATAAAGATTGCTAAATAATAGGCAAAAAACATTTAGTATTTACTCAAATGTAATACGCTTCCTCCCAAAATTATAGTTCATAAATTTGTATTGAAAAGTAATTGGAAATATAAACTATTTAATTAGAATTCATAGGCTATAGAATATCAAAAAGCCTTTCTTAAACTCAGTTATGATGGGAAATGCATAGATTTTTCAGCAAGTAATAAAATGAAGATAGGATTACATTGGAAAGAGCAAATTGTGCATGATTCTCTGAATGGAGGAAAACAGAAGCAAGATTAGTTAAGACGTTGGTACAGTGAGTGATTAGGACCCTGGAATGAGGTGGTGATGGCTAAAAAAAATGAGGCTATATTTCTGAGTTGCTTGAAAGACAATGGGTCATTCAAATGTGGTGACTCATTATAAATGGATGGAGAGAAATCAAATATAACTTCAACATTGCAAAAGTGGGCAACAAGAAAAAATAGGGACATCAAACGGGGTGGGCTGGGGGTATCTATTGTAGGCCAAATATAGTAAAAGACTTTATGATGAGAGATACCATCCAAATAAAATGAAATACAGGCTTAATAATTTTGGTGAAATATGGACTGATTAGCATCTGTTTAATGAGTAGAAAGTTAGGTAATTGACATGAATTGTGTCCCCTCAAAATACATGTGTTGAAGCCCTATCCCTCAATGTGGCTGTATTTGGAAATAGGGCCTATAAGGAGTTGATAAATGTTACATGAGGTCATAAGAGTGGGTCCCTAATCCGATAGGTCCAGGGCCCTTATTAAAAGAGGAAGAGATAGTAGAGCGCTCACTTGCGCTTGCCTTCTCACACGTACACACACACACACACACACACACACGTTCTCTCTCCACGTCCCACCACCCCCCTGCCCCCCTGTCCCCACCAATGTGAGGACACTGTGAGAAGGCAGCCACTTGCAAAGAGAATAGAGCCCTTACCAGGAACCAAGTTTGCTGACACCTTCAACTTGGACTTCCAGAGCTGTGAGAAATTAATTTCTGCTGTTGAAGCCACTCAGTTGCTAGTGTTTTGTTATGGCAGCCAGAGCTGATTAACACAGTAACTTTCATGTTTACAAAACAAAATAATTATGTTTTACCCTAATTATTGTATTTGAGGCATAAAAGCTAAAACATCAATAAATCATAAGTAATAATGATTTATTAGATAACTATGATATATCTCCAATGATATAGGACATGTTATATAAATATCTTGCAAAAGACATCGACAACTCCAGCTGGATTTGCTTTAGAAATGTTTAGCTTTGGAATTACATGGAATGACAGAATGTGTCCAAAGGCCACCAGTTTGCACATTTACAACAGAGAACAACTTTATTAGGCTACAGATAGTGACCTAACGTAACAAAAAAGAGATAAACCAACCAATTAGTGAATAATAAGTAATAGCAACTGATAATTATTGTGCCCTTGCATTGTGTCAGATATTTTCTAAGCACCTCACATGTATCTGTTTCGGAAACTTCTGTGCTAGGGAGATACTATTATTAATCCCATTTTTAAGATGAAAAACTAAGGCACAGTGAATCAGTAACTTGGTCACACTCACACAGCTGTGAAGGAAATGAGTAGTAGTGAATGACAAAAATGCTGGCAATTCATAGGTCCAGCCATTGTCATGCAGGAAAAAGGGGAAATTTTTATAAACATTGGTTGAAAAGTTATACTGAACTGAAGGAACTTATAAGGCACAACACGGTCTAACTCTCCAGTCAACGAAAACATTCCTCTCTCAGCTGCTCTGGTGGGTCATCCAGGCTCACAGTGAATGTTCCCGGCAAGAAAGTGCCTTCCTGCTTTCCAAAGAAGTCCTTTTCAAGGTGGCGGAGCACTGAATAGTACAGAATTCATCAGTATATTGAGTTCAGATCCTATCTATAACTTAGGTACTTTTGTTTTCCTGTTTTAAAGATAACATTAAGAACCTGCTGTTTTTTCCTCTATAGAATCTGGCATTTACAGCACTTTCTCATCGATCACACCACTGAGTGTTACCATTCCTATTTTACAGAGGGAAATGTGAGGCTGAGAAAGTTTGGACAACATAGCCATGGCAGTTTATAACTCAAAGTATATGGATGGATGACACTCGCTAGAGAGTTGCAACAGCCGATGCAGCTGTCCCCAGGCCCCAAACTCACTTATATTTCCTGAAACACCAGGAAAAGCATCTTTTATTTTTATATGAGAGCCCTAAGAGATTATTTTCATCTTATTCAAAAATGAAAAGATTTTATTTAATTAAAAAATCTATTTCTATTATCTTAGAACTTTTGCTTCTCAGTGTCAAATATTTTTGGTTACCTCAGTTACTTTTTGCAAGGTACAGTTTTCAAATCCCATTTCATCCTGATTGTCCTTCCCTGAATTATTTAAGTGTAGTTTAGCTACACTTAAAGCACAGTATTCGCTAAAATTGGAAATAATGTTCCAGACGTTATATTACATTGACCATTATATCCCTTGATCCAAATTATTTATTGTTGACAATTATTACTTAAGATAATAAAGAATAAACTTCTACCAGAAATACCAGAAAATCAATATATACATATGTAAGAATGGAAAAATGAATAATATAAATTATTTACTATTCCATTGATCAGGCCAATCACTTTTTGTGTAATATTTCTTGATTTGTTTTCTATGAATATTTTTATAATATCTGCCTTTATATTACATTGATTATTTTGAGTTCTGCTTTTCTTCCTTTGCCTCAATAGCATCGAAATTTTATAGATACTCACAAACTCTGAGAATATGATTTTAATGCCAGTCCTTCAGTAGTCATCTTTATAGAAAATGCTAAGTTAATTATAAAATTATAAATGATTTGGTGATTAGTATCTTTGTAAATATTTTGCTACCTTCTCATATTTTAAATTATTAGGTACATATTTTCATAATTGAGATTTCTGGCTTGAAAAGTATTTGAGAATTATAGAATCTTTTAAGTCAGTCTCTCTTCCTCTTTCTAATATATATTTTCATCTTAATGAGTGATGACAATGATTTTTTTCAAAAAGAAAAAATGAAAACGTATTTGCCTAATGTGTATGTACACGCATGCATACATAGACACCCACATATTTCTTAACACTGCATTTTTAGAAAATTCAAACTTGGATATTTTCTTTAGGAAAACTCCCAATCTGAAATATAAAATGTTTATATATATATATGTGTGTGTGTGTGTATAATTTATGTGAATACATATAAATATACACATATAATGAAATACAGTACTCAAGGAGACCAAAAAGAGAATGAGGGTAAAGCCAGCTTGTGGAATGCTTTGCATACTATGCTAAGTGGATTGTTACGCCATTGATAAATTTTAAGCGTCATGGATAAATATGAAATGCTACATGTCATTGTTTTGAAGAGGTAGTGATGATAGTTTCCTAAGTCTAATTTTATGCTGCTGGAGAAAACAGAATGATTAGAATTCTTATTTATGCCTACAGAAAAGAAGCTGGGCACAGGGGCTCATGCCTGTAATCCCAGCACTTTGGGAAGCCAAGGCAGGAGGATTACTTGAACCCAGGAGTTGGAGACTCACCTGGGCAACATATAGTAAGACCCTGTCTCTACAAAAAATTTAAAAATTAGCTGAGTATGGTGACAAAAAATTTAAAAATTAGCTGAGTGTAGTGGTGCATGCCTGTGATCCCAGCTACTCGGGAGGCTGAGAGAGGAGGATTGCTTGAGCCCAGGAGGTCAAGGCTGCAGCGAGCTATGTCTGTGCCACTGTACTCCAGCCTCGGCAACAGAATGAGACCCTGTCTCAAAAAGTAAAAAAAAAAAAAAAAAAAAATTTAAAAAGAAGATGAAAAGCATATATATCAAATAGGCAGCATTTTGGCAATTAGAGCCATTTGTAAAATGGGTGAATCATGAATCCTATTCATAGTTTTATGCTTACTGAGCTTATTGATGCAAATGGCCTGCTCTGGGATACTAAAAGATATAAAATTGAATGAAATAAGGAACCCAAAACAGGTGAAGGAGAAAGATCATTAGATCAATGGTCACCAAACGTTTTATTTAGGTAGCATCTGAGATTCTATTGGACTATCTGTACATTCCACTCTTCATGTGCTAAACACATACTTGGTCATCAAAACATTCAGGGAATAACATGCTAGGAAATGCATAACACAGATAAATTGAAAGAGTAATGGGCATCAAAGCCATTTGGTGCAATAAAGAATCATTACCTCCATGACAGTGGCTAGTTAGAGAACAGATACAAAAAGTTAGAGACTTGAATCATTCTATCAATTACATCTAAGACTTGCATTCTTAATTTTTTGTATTTTTCTAAGGTGATTCATGGAGAGAATTAGCTTGTGACTTAACACTACGGAGTTAGGCAAATAAGCATTTAAGTGAACATCATAAAACTGGAGGGGTTACAAAAGAGATAGGAGATATAATCTCTAAACTTAGAGAAGTTTACAGTCGTTTTACAGAAATATTTTGCATGTAGGTAACCCCTGATTAACAATACAATCAAGTGCTGTGTTGTGTGGGTCAATATGAGCTATAGTATCAAAATAAAAGTGAAGAAACCAACAAGACAAAGAGCTAATCACCCTCCTCTTCCCAAATTAATCTTCCTCATTGGTTCTAAAATATGCTTTCACTGGTAAAATCCAGCAATGTCATTTTCCGAGCTTGCAGGGAAAAAAATAAATTAATAATTTTCTCAATTATAAAGATTGTGCCTAAAAGTTTTTCTTAAAGTTTTGTTGTCTACAACTTCCTGACTAGATTAGAATGAAATGGAAGATATTACATAAATTAGCTGAAAATTATATATCTGGTTATTTTAAGTTTATTATATTTTTATTTCATGATGTCTGCAAAGAACATAATGATTCATGTGGTCTTACACTTAAAGCTTAAATGGGACCACTTTGTATGGTGCAGTTTAAGAGACCATGTGTTTTTGTGTTTGAAAAAAGATAAAAGACCTGTTTATTAATCTCTTATAATCCAGACGTCAGTTGTTAGTGAGGTGTGTTGTCTTATTTAGTATGTTTTTGAGTAAACCTAAACCTAATTCTCCTTTTATATAGCATGATTAACTTGTGAACTTTTTTTTTTTTGAGACTGAGTCTTGCTCTGTCGCCCAGGCTGGAGTGCAATGGCGCGATCTCTGCTCACTGCAAGCTCCGCCTCCTGGGTTCATGCCATTCTCCTGCCTCAGCCTCCTGAGTAGCTGGGACTACAGGTGCCCACCACCATGCCCAGCTAATTTTTTTTTTATTTTTAGTAGAGATGGGGTTTCACCGTATTAGCCAGGATGGTATCAATCTCCTGACCTCGTGATCCACCTGCCTCGGCCTCCCAAAGTGCTGGGATTACAGGCGTGAGCCACCACGCCCAGCCAACTTGTGAACTTTCATATTATTTTTTCAACGTGGGAGTGAGCATGATTGTTGGGTAAATAATTTCCTGTGGACACATTTGGTTTCATTCACCCCACTTGACATTCCATTGCTAAAGTAGACTTAGATACAGCAGTCCTCCCATGAATTTAATATATGGGAAGGTTAACAAGCAGAGTAAATGACCAAGTATTTGTGGTGATTGAAGTTGCCAAGTTCCAGGAATACATAAGCCAGAAGCACCTTAATGAGTGATGAAACTGATGATGATTTTCCTCAAAAAGAAAAAACGATGAAAATGTCTTTGCCTAATGTGTATGTACATGCATGCATTTATAAAAGCACCCCCAAACACGTTCCTAACAATACATTTTTAGAAAATTTACACATGGATTTTTTTATTTAAAAAAGAAGACTCCAAATGTGAAATATAAAATGTTTTTAATGTTTTTGTAACCTAGCCATACATTCATGTTTTTTTTCTCAATTTCTAGAGCTCGTGGGTCCATCCAAAATTATACTGAATTATACTGTTTAATTTAGCCCATTCAGATAGGCTACAGAATTGAACAGGATGAAAAGGGCAGCAGTATGATGCATCCAACAAGGGGCCGACCAGAAATTCTGACCTCCAGATGCAGCATTAAGTTCAAATAGGATCAGTAACCACATTAGGAGGGTCACCAGATAGAGAAGAGAGGTGATACATCCCAGAGTTGATTGTGAACATCTTAGCTCAGGCACACAGAAATCAACTTACTATCATTGTTCAAGTCTAACCTCAGAGACACTAGCAATTAGAAGTTAGGAATTCAGGGTAGAACACTGGAAAACGAAGAGCCTGGAACCTCCCTTCCAAAATCTTTTTGTTAGTGAACAGCCTATTCTCCACCTTCCCTGAACTCTGAACAGCTGAACTCACCTGGAGAAAAAAAATTGCAACATCTGGGACCCTTATCTCAAGGCAACCCTAAGAAGTGGGTTTACTCTGTTTTCGTGCTGAATTTGTTCTCTCATTTTATGACGTTATTTCATAGTTTCTCTTCTCTTCTCTAAACTCTAATACTCTTTCTTCTTTCCTCTTCCTTATCTACTACATTCATTTTCTAGTTACCAAAGAAAGTGAAGAAATCAGAAAAAAGAATGCTGTCATTCTTTCAACATCAAACCTACTATCCTATCTGCATCTATGCCAATGGCTCCACTTCCCCCTTGTTACCTGAGTGGCACCACGTTACTTCTATCTAAACAACCTCTCAACATACATTCCACATGCCCTCCCCTCTTTCCAACCGAGGTGTATTCCTCTCTTCCCCTCCTTCATCATTTGCTTCACTATATATTAGATTGTTCTCAACAGCCTAAAAACATTGTAATAGTTTCCATTAAAAATATATGCTGGCAGTATATTCCTTTCAGATATCATCTCATACCTGTATTTATCTTTGTAGAAAACTTTTTTGAAAGAGTGTTTTATTGTGTTGACTTCATTCCATTCTTGTCTCCCTTCATCATTCATTCCGGCTTTAGCCCCCTTCAATGAGGCTTTTCTCTAATCCCTCCATTAAGACCAATCTCATGAAAGTCATCAGTGACCTGCATCTTGGGAAATCCAATGGTCTGCCTCAGTTCTTAATTAAACTTCTCAAACTTTTAACCTAGCTGAGTACTTCTTTATTGGAATGCTGTAAATATTTATTTCTGTATGTATCTGTTTGCTTGTGTGTTGCCCTTCTCCATCACTAAAACGTAAGAGCAAGTTCTGTTTTGTATACTCCTTGGTCTTGTATCTTGTTTTGTATTCCCAATGTCTAAAACAGTACTTGGCATTGACTAGGTGCTCAAAAATCACTTACAGAATCATTTAAACAGTCATGTATTTGAGTAACAGGCACATGAAGTTATAAACACAAACATAATTTATCAATAAGACAAATATTTTGGGAGTCAGATGTTTCTTACCTTTAGTCTGTCCAGAGCCAGTACAGCCTAAAATTAATTTGGTAATTGGGCTTTAGAATCTCTTCATTTGCATTTGAAATGAACCCATCCAATATGTCCACTGAACTACACAGCTTAGAGTGAACTCTCTCCAGTTGACTTAGGATAAGTAAGCATATTCACAGAAGCCATTAATCTGGATCCGTATCCCATGAAAATATAAGACTAAATCTTAACTGGTTTTGTGAAACTATGAGCAAAAAAGTGTAAGCCCTATATTGTCAGGCTATTCCAACAGGCAATACCACTGAAATGCAGTAGCTCCTCCCTAAGCTAAGTGCCAACAAGGAGTGAAATGTGCTAGGTGCCCAATTAGTATCTCTACCTACTGCTCATTCCAAAGGTCTCCAACCAGCTATTGACCTAAATAATCCACCTAGTTTCAGGCCACAGCCAAGAAGTCTATTTATAGCTCAGAGTAAACTAATAGCTGAGCTGAGAGGCCTTTTTCTTATTTGTAATTCTCCCTTCTAAAATGTAAGGAAACTAACATACCAGAAACACATGAAAATTATAAGCCCCTGCAACAGCCAAATTCCAATTCTGCGTTTTCCCCCTAAACAAAAAGGAAACAAAATGTTGAGAGAATGTCAAGCTGCTACCAGCCACATTCAGCATACTTGGGATCCACAGTTTTAATGAAATCATTTAGCCTTTCAACCACATGGCACTTCTTTATCTGCAGATGAAAATCCTGGTTTTTAGTATTAAGGTTGTGAAATTAAGGTTGTCTTTAGGATTAAGGTTGTGGTGGAGATACAATTTTTTCCTTAAGTTGTTTTCTTCAAGGAATTTATCCACAAGAAGGTTAATTATGACATATTTTTATAGATGCCTAAGTGTAGGATTTGTTTTAGCATTAATGGACCATCTAGGCCATTACAGAAAGATGTTGGGATATTTAAGAAGTGGTATTTTTTAAGAAAGTAAGTCAAAACATGAGAAAATGAACTTAAATAGCTAGAATTTATAATCTTTTAATCTGGGTCTGTGTCCCATGAAAACATAAGACTAAATCTTAACTGGTTTTGTGAAACTATGAGCGAAAACGTGTAAACCCTGTATTCTCAGGCTATTCCAACAGGCAATACCTCTGAGATGCAGTGTCCCCTCCCTAAACTTTTGTTTATAATTACAGTCAACATTTATTGAAAATTTTTGGACTCAGGCCAGGCTTTGTGGCTCACACCTATAAACCCAGTACTTTGGGAGGCTGAGATGGGAAGATTACTTGAGGCCAGGAGTTTGAGACCAGCCTGGTCAACATAGACACTGTCTCTCAAAAGAAAACATCCGTACTCTACTGAATTCTGGGTGGATCGACAAGTGAATGCAATGGTCCTCACTCCTGAGGGTGTTTTACTTCATATGATGAAAAGATATATTAGAAATACATTTTTAAGAAATGTATTAATAGTGTGATCTATGATAAATATTTGGCCTAATTTCTTCTACTTTCTGAGCAGTTGTCTTGGCACGGTGAAGATTTTCTTGAGTTGGGGAATACTTGGAATGTCAAAGAATCTGTCTTGAGGCTACCTGCTATTTTACTTACTAAGGTGGGAGATGTAGGGGACTCACTCATTTCACCAGGATTTATTTTTTGGACAAGGACAAAATAAAAATGAGCTTTTATAAATTGTGTTATAAGAAAATTCATAGATCAGAATCATAGCTCTGATTATACTTCATGACTATAATATTTTCATACTTGGTGTCTGTGTTTAATAAGAATGAGCCCAACAACTAGGAAAGCATCCTGTTAGTATCTTCAGGGGGTGTCCTGTACGGGATACATAATGGGGTGCCTGAGTGAGATAAAGCAACATAAAACTTTTATGTCCAGGGAACAACACGTATGTGACAAAGCAAAGGGAATCTAGGACTAGAGAAGGTGTAATGCCTGCAGGTTGTTTATACAGCTTGTACTATCTGGGCAGTGAGTGGAAAACTTGATGCAAAACAGAATAAGGAAACATGCTCGCTAAAACTGAGCATGGAGGTGAGAAAAAATAGATTATTTTCTCAGAAAGGGTGAATTGCAACTCCATGGCCAGTTGGTATCTTTCCATTTAAAAAGACCTCCCTGGTTGACTTGATTTATTCTCAAGATGGCTTCGACACACGGAAAAGTGGGTCACTTGATGAGAAATACGCTGGTTTTCAATAAAGGGGAAAGTGATGTTTTTTTCTTCAACTTAGTTCCAGTAGAAGTTCCAAAATAACTGGAAAGTTATTCTGTTTCTTTTACTCTCCTTGTGTCTTGTGAATGATGGCAGGTTTATTTCAAAATTGTGAGAAAAGAAAAACAGTGGTTGGAAAACATGAAGTGGTCTGTTTATTTTGGCCATTGGTGAGAAATGTTCTGGAAAAGCTATCTAAACTGAATTCCAGCTGTATGTCACTGGATGCTGGCAGGATTTATTGGTGGGAAGTTATGGCAAACATCTTGATGGCTTTAAATCTGTATTCATAGCTAGTATCTTTTGTGTAATTATACTTAAAAATCATTAATTTCAAAAAAAAATTAGAGAATTTCTCTAATGCTTGTACATTGAGAGGGGAAGGAAGAAAAACTAGAAGGTTAGTCTTTTGAACTGCTATAGTTTTAAAGATGACAGAACCCTTCATCTCAGCAAGAGCAGTGGAAGATTAAAAATATTAGACATGGCCAGGCATTGTGGTTCACTCCTGTAATCCCAGCACTTTGGGAGGCTGAAGCAGGCAGATCACCTGAGGTCAGGAGTCCAAGACCAACCTGGCCAACATAGCGAAACCCCGTCTCTACTAAAATACAAAAATTAGCCAGGCATGGTGACAGGTGCCTGTAATCCCAGCTACTTGGGAGGCTGAGGCAGGATAATCACTTGAACCCAGGACACAGAGGTTGCAGTGAGCCAAGATAGCACCACTGCACCCTAGCCTGGGCAACAGAGCGAGACTCCCTCATATATATATATATATGTCTTGACTAAGACCAGGGATATCTCCCTTCTGTTATTCTGAAGGTCTGCCTATTGAATAGTCAATCCTGAAGATAAGCAAGATAAAGAATTAAGAACAGGAAACCACACCAAGCTCTCTGTCTCCATTTACCCCTTAGACAGATGTTTCTTTAAGTTTTTTGAATGAGCAATTCATTATTGTAATGATATGACAAAGAGAATGGATGCTAACCATCCTATGATCCAAGTTTATCAGCTACATGATATTGGTCAGCTTACATTCCTTTATCTCTTGGCTTCCTCACTGTTAAAATGCACATGATTCTGCCTAACTAATAAGGTACTTATAAAGATTACATTAGAATATGCATATCATACCTTGGTGTCTGAAAAAAGCTGCTGTATTACTCTTATTAAAAATAAAATTAAGCAACTCCTATTCCTCTTAAATTTCTATTTTATATAAACCTGCACCTAACATGTGGAAATTGAGAGAAATAGCTTCAGTTTTGTTTGCCTTTTTTGTTATGGTATTGATTTCTATTATAGTTATATAATTATAGTATATAATGGAAATTACCTATTTTTTGTCTAAATCAGTGACAATGGATGCAAAAAGTACAACACTCCAAGGAAGTATCTCTGCCCTTGAAATTTCTGAGAAAGTTTCAACAACTACACTTCAGACTAATGGAAAATATGATCATAATTGTTTTGGTTTGTTTTAAAAAAATCACCTTATGTTTAAAGAACATTATGAACAAGCCTCAAACTGTTCTGCTGCTCTACACACCTACAAGTGAAAATCAATATTTCTTTCAAAAATTTCCATATATGTCTCAGATAAAAGTTGCGCTGTGCTCACATTTTTCTAATGTGACATATGGTTGGTTTCAAATGCATGCCCAGGAGGCAAAATACTGAATAAACTGTGATGACTTATAGTTTAGAAGGTTTTCTCCTGAGGGGGGGAAAAACAGCAGATAATATTGTTACAGGAAATCCATAAGCCAAAAAGAAGTTTCAAATAACTCTTTCTCCCAAGTCTTCCACAAGCTGTCCTTAAATTTTTAAAGAGCACTTGAATAATAAAATGTGTTGGTTATAGCCCCATTTTTCTTCATGACTACCCTCAAAACATTTACTGAAGATGCTATTTTAAGCTGCCATTTCAAAATTTTTACCACCAGTTTGTAGATGATTTCTACTCAGTTGTACAACACAATAGCATACAATATTCCCTCCATTCATTCTGACATGGATCATCTATTTTTCTGCCCAAAGGATTGAAGTGAGAATGGCATTTGGAAGACATTTCAGGAACAGTTAGGGCAAGAGATAGGATTAGGTGTCCCTGTGCCTACACGGAGGAAAATAAGTCCCACTCCTCTACCAAAAAGAAAATTTAGCTTTACTCTGATGCTAGATGACTTAGTGATTAGCCGGCCATAGCTTGAAACATTTTGGAGTCTTGTTTTTGGTAGAGAAGAGGGAACATTCTAAATTTCTTCCATTCTCTTTTTTTTTAATGGGAATGAGTCTTTCCCCTTTGAAGGAAGGGGCTGGAGTGCAGTAGTGGGATCTCAGCTCACTGCAACTTCGGTCTCCCAGCCTCAAGCAACTCTCCGGCCTCAGCTTCCTGCGTAGCTGGGACTGTGCGTGAGCCACCACACTCAGCTAATTTTTGTATTTTTAGTAGAGATGGGGTTTCACCATGTTGCCCAGGCTACTCTCGAACTCCTGACCTCAAATTATCTGCCCGCCTAAGCCTCCCAAAGTGCTGGGATTACAGGTGTGAGCCACCACACCCAGCCAAAAATATGTTTATCATTTTACAGTCAGCCCTCTGTATCCGTGGAGTTTCCATATCCATGGATTCAATCAACCCAGATAAAAATATTCAGAAATATATTGTATCTGTACTGAACATGTAAATACTTTTTTCTTGCCAAGATTACCTAAACATTACAGTATAGTAACTATTTACATAGCATTTACATTATATTAGGTATTACAAGCAATTTAGGGATGGTTTAGGGTATATGGGTGGATGCACATAGGTTATATACAAATACTGCACCATTTTATAGCCCGGACTTGAGCATCCCCAGATTTTGGGTAACTGAGGGAGAGATGACTTTATACGTGAATGATCAGTCTAGCAAACCCAGCCAGGGCCTGGAGGGGGCCCTACTCAGTCTCAGGCTGAGAACACCTATTGAGGTTAGGTAGGTCATTTAAGTTCATTGAACTCAAATAGTCTTTTAGTATTTAAATTCCTTCTAGATCAGAGGTTCCTAACCCCAATTGATAAGCAGAGTTTCCTAGTTAGAGAGCCTTTAATAGCTACATCCTGAGCTTCACCTTTGAGGGGAGGGACCGAAAACAGCATTTTAAAATGGCTGAGGTGATTTTGATATAGCATAGCTAGCATTAATTTGTGAATTTGCATTTGGGAAGTATATCCCTAGAGAATTCTTAAGCAACTTCTCTAGAGTCTTGTCAACCTTGATAACCACACGTATGTTTGAATATCTCATACTGCAAAACTATTATTTGCCTAGGCAGCACATGCTCTTTTCAGTAGACTTGACTGCATCAAAGAAAACAATATTAAATGAAAATGCACCTGCATAAATTCTCTATCAATTGGTATTCTGTTACTTGGGGGCCATAGAAAATCTAATTCCTAATCCACACAATAGCTCTTCTACTACTATTTGCAGACAATGGCAGGCACTTGCATTTCAGTCATTTCTTCTCTAGAAAAATATTTCTAGTTCATTTAGTCTTTATGTGACTTGATTTTAAAATGTATGTATTCCCCTTGCTTTTCTTTGAATTTACCCCTGAGGTTTCTCAAGTGAGGGCTTCAACTGAACACAAGTCCCAGTGGGGCTGGGTTCGTAGGTGTGTGAGCTGCATTATCTCAAAGGACCCTCCAACTCAGGTCTGTGCTTGGTTTTGTGTTGTTCATTGAGTTGAAATTTATAGTAGTAGTTTTTTTTTTTCTTTTTTAAGCAAGGGCCTCCACATTTCCACTTTACACAGAGGTCACACAAATTAGGTAGCCTGTCCTGTGTCCCAGCTCTAGTATGATCTTGTATAAACGGTTCAATTCCCACATGCCCCATGCTAATGGAACATGGTATACATTATCTGTTTTAGTAGCCATGTTACTCCTCAGTTCATACTCTACATACTACGGGATGCAACTCCAAGATTGTTTTCTACTACACAGCCATGTCTCCTTCATGATGGATTTTTGAGATTGTTGTGGGAAACAAATACAAGATGTTATATTGATTCCAGTTAAGCATAATCTTTAAAGATTTGGCTTATGGTTCCAGACCTATTGAGACCTGATTAGGTTCTGATTGTATCATCCATCATGTTTGTTGTCCCTCTTAACTGCATGCCACCAAAAGACACTTACAACCCCGTCTTATAAAGTGATGAAAAATATCATAGTAGGAAGCATTTAAAGAAATATGAGGAATAATGGTTTTGATCATGTGATCTAGTTGCTATTGTCTTAAAGATACCGAAAGTCTCCAATTTCAGTAGCCAGTGTGTAATCTTTATTCTTCTTGCCTAAAAATAGTTTGATAGTCTTTGTTGTCATTGTGAATAAGAATGTGAAAATACTTCAGTTGTAATGGGGGCTTCGGCCAACAGAAGACTCATTTCTGAAACTATATGGTATGAAAAACTCACCTCAGAGGAGTTATAATTATTTAATGCAAATGTAGAAAATCTAGTGTTTCTGTCTACCTTGGCAATGACATCTTTTGGTTTGGATGCTTCAGGGAGCCAGTTACTTTAGTAAGTGCTTTGGTGCTGTATGAGAGAAGACATCCTCAAGTGAGAAAGGTACAAGAGATGTGTAAATGTTTTCCCACTTACAATAGGTGATTTCTGAATTATTTGCTTTTATTCCAATTTAATCATGGAAAGTTTTAAGAAAAGTAAAATTGTTTAAGATGATGACAGTTTTGATTTCAGCTATGTATATGGTCAGGTAATGAAATATGATTTTGTTTGCTTATATAATTAAAATACAATTAGGTCAAATTAAATACTAGCCTGGCTAGCTGTTATGCTGTTAATTAGAATTTTAAACAGTATTTGGATACTTTAATCATTTCCCTATTTTATCTGAGTAATCATTCCCTCAGAAATACAGAAATGAAAACCTCAGAAGCCCAGAAACATAACATTACATTTGAGCTAACTTTTCTTTTCCTACATAAAGCTGCATGCATTAGTGAAGGCTGATGCTCAGTTTCTTGTCTGAGATTTCTCATTGTACTAAAACAGATTCAAGGGTGAACTTACAGTAGGATCCGTATGCTGGTAGGAACACCTTAGTCCTAGTTGCAGTGCTGGAAGAACTTGTTAATTTGCTTTAGATCTATTATTTACCCATCATCTCTAAAGTGAAGGAGATATCATGGCACATCACTGAAGTCTCTTTAATCTCCAAGATTGTACACATCTGTAAATTTGTGAAATGCCTCCAGAGAGATAGGGCAGTATAAATGATTCATACTATTGATTCACTTGGCAAGTGGAAGGGCTGAGCTCAGAAATAAAAAGGCAATTCTATTACAGTTCAAGAGTCTGACAGGACCCCACTACTCAGACCTCAAGAAGTGCTTTGTAGCAGTTGAAAATGATACTTTAAAAAGCATGTGTGAGATCTGTGTTCACATGCATATATATTTATGTATTACTCACCAAAAATTACTGAGTGTATACTTTTTGCCAGGAACTGTTCTAGATGCTGGGGATATAGTAGAGAACACAACAGACAAAGACTCTACCTTTATGGGCTTTTATTATGTGGCAAAATATACCAGGTGTTAAATAAGATAAGCAATTCTATTACATTAAAACTAGACTGAAAGTTTAGGCAGCAAATGAGTGGGAGGGATCTGCAAAAGAAAATTTCACTTTAAATATTGTGGTCAGGGAAGCACCCACTGAGAAGATGACATTTGAGTGAAGATCTGCAGGAAGTAAAGGTGCAAGCCTTAAAGATTTCTGGAGGGATGATGCCCAGAAAGAGCCAGCAGGTACAAAGTTCTAGAGGTGGGAGCCTGCCAGCTGTGTCTGAGAAATAACAAATAGACCAGCATGAAGGGAAGTAAGCAAGCCAGGAAGAGAGGAAGATGCAGTGGAGATACAATAGGAAGCCAAATAGTATAAAGCAAGCTTGTCCAACTCGCGGCCCCATGGGCCACATGCAGCCCATGACCGGTTTGAATGTGGTCCAACACAAACTCACAAACTTTCTTAAAACATTTTAGATGCTTTTTGCAATTTAGTTTTTTTAGCTCATCAGCTATCGTTAGTGTATTTTATGTGTGGCCCAAGACAATTCTTCTTCTAGTGTGTTCCAATGAAGCCAAAAGATTGGATATCCCTGGAAAGTCTTGTCAACTATTTTAAGGTCCTTTTCACTCAGAGTGAGGAAATGGATGTCTTACTATTTAATAGGATCCCTCTGGCTGCTGAGTTGAGAATAGTCTATGTGCAAGGGCAGAAGCAGCAGGCATGTTAAGAGGCTATTGGATGAAATTGCACAGTCACACATTATCTTTTTCTAATAGACTAATACCTATTACTAGACTATCTGTAGCCTGATCTTCTACTCTTGAATTAGTCACTCATTTATAGATATAATTGTTGACTGGTACAAAATGCTGTCATTGTTCTAGACTGAAGTTATTTAATTGTAACTGTTAATGTGAATGCCCCCGTTGGGACCCAAGAAACCTCTTTTATCTACCTTCATAGACCTAGGGTAATCCATTTCCATTAAATGTAGGTTTATCAAACCCCTACTTTATATCAGGCACTATTCCAATTACTTGGAATAAATCAGTGAGCAAAGGAGACTAATAGCCTTGTCCTCATGGAGTTGAATTTTAAAGGGAGAAGACAAAAATAATGGCTGCAATAAACAATTGATAGAGTTTATTAGATGGTTATGAGTGTAATGAAGAAACTACAATATAGATCTCAGGGCATAGGGCAAGTCTCGGTATTAGTAGGACATTCTGATCAGGCTTTATTAGGAAAATGAGATTTAAATAAGACCTTAAGGAGGTCAGAAAGTTATCCACGGAGATTTCTTGGAGAAGAATATTTCAGGCAGAGGAAACAAGCAGTGGCAAGCAACCAACAGTGCAAAACCTCCAAGGCATAAACATGACGGTCATTTTCAAAGCATAGCAAGATGATCAGTATGTCTAGAGTGAAGTGAGCAATGGAGAATTAGTAGGACATGAGCTATGATTAGAAGTGAGAGCCAGACCATGTAGTTGCTTGGAGGCTAGTGTAAGGACTTTGGATTTTGCTTTGTATGAAATGAAAAGCCAAAGAAGGAGAAATATGATCTGATCAAGCACATCGTTCTGGCTGCTGTGTTGCGCTGGAATATGGGAGGGCAGGCGTGAATGCAGGGAAGCCAGTTAAGCTGTTGCAACAATCCAGTTTAGAGAGGATGAAGGCTCAGAGAAGGGTGATGGCAGCCGAAGTGTTGAGACGTGGTAACAGTTACATTCTGGTTATATTCTGAGCTGAATCAAACAGAATTTGATGACAGATTAGATGTGGGGTCTGAGACAAAGAGAACTATTATGACAAGATTTTGGGGCCTGAGAAACTAGAGGGGTGGAATTGCTATCACCCAAGATGAGGAAGAGTATAGCAAAAGAGGATTTATTGATCTATCCATAGTTTTGCCTTGGACAAGACAAGTTTCAACATTTAAGTGAAGATGTTGCCTTGGCAGATAATATACAAATGTGGATTTAGGATGGAAAATTTGGGTTGAATATATAAACCAGGTAGTCATCCTAATGTGTTAGGATTATGGTTTACAGTGGGGTTTAAAGCCATGGGCAGCATGAGGTCTATAAAGGAGTATCTGAAGATAGAACAAAGGAGGCCAGTGCCCGAGCCCTGCATACTCCCAAATGAAATGATTTAAAAAGAATTTTTAAAAATCCCTTAAACACCTCAGAATTCAGCTTCGTACCTTCTTCTACATCAGTAAAGATCTGCAATGGAAATAGTTTAAACTTTTTTCAGACTGGTGGGTTATTTAGCCATGCTTGCAGCATGATCATTTCGGGAGGTACTCAAAGCATAGTGTATCCCAAACAAAAAAGGGAATAGGTTTTCCTTTACATGATGGCACCAGCCACTTGGTAGTGACTGATTGGTATGCTATGCTGCAGCAGATGTGGAGGTTGGATGTGGGTTTCATAGGGGAAAGAGCCTCACAATGGCTTAGTGAGGCCTTCCAAGGGAGCAAAATGGGCGAAGCCTGGTGCCATGGGTTTGCTTATATTTTGCAAATCTCATAAATGAGAACTCTATTGTGGGGGGCTCTGACTTTTGGGGATCAAACTCCTTTTAAAGAATTAGGATTATAAATAATACCTATCAAAACTCTGCATGTACCTGTGCACCCTCAAAAACCCTGTGCACCCCAAAATTTATGCATATAATTTTAGTAAGACTTCTGGGCGTCTTCCGTGGACTCGTTTAAGAATCCCTGCTGTACTAACTCAAAAACAGTCTTAATAGCTTAACACAATTTCTTTCCAAATGTAGTCAGTTTCAATATTAAGTTTGGTAGACTCTACTATTTAGCATAAGTAGCAAACAGACATGAGATAGTTATTCCACTATTATTGTTCTAATCACTTCATGGAGAAACTTGCCAAGAATAATTAAAAGTAATTTGCAACTTCATTGCCCTTTTATTGGCCATTGACTTTGCAAACAGAATGTAGCTATGGACCAAGTGGCACATGTTCATATGGTTTGCCAGTTTGGGGTACACTTATAAAATCTTTTCATTACTAATGTAGTAAGCAAGGCTAACTGAATTGGTCCCCTCAAAGACAGATGGCAATTCCAGACATTACTAAATTTTTTTTTCCAAAATTTAAAATGTACATATTAATGATGTGGAACTACTCTTAGATTAGCCATATGCATAGCCCTCTGCCATAGCCAAATGAGAATATATAACCTCTTGTTTAATAACAATAGGGTTTTGCCATCAAAGAGGATTGAATAGATAGAGCATTCTGGCATTTAACTATTGCCAGAAATTGTACCTCAGCTTTAATTACACTGAAACAAAACTCACTGGCACATATCTTCCACATGCACCTAGTCCACGTTAATTACCTCCACTTAGCAAGTCCACCTGTCTGAGTGTTAGGGCCACATTTTCAATACAAGTTCTTCTAGCTGTTACACTGCTAACCCATGGTTCTCAAACCCAAAGATCCTTGGGAAGGCTAATGCATCTCTTTTAGAGCCCTGGAGTTTGATTTGTAGCCAGCTGTTTTGAAAATTCCAACCCATAAACATTTCTGCCACACTTTATAGAGGGATTCTAAACACAAATGACCACTGGGATGAGGCAATTACAAGACCTGTGATAAATAGCAAGCACATCCCCTGCCCAATGACATTGAGTATTTTTTTTCTTTTGAGACAGTCTCATCCTGTCACCTAGGCTAGAGTGTAGGCTGAATCCCATCCCAGAGTCTCAGATTTAGTAAAATCTAAAGTAGAAACTGCTAGCAAGTTCCCAAACAATGCTAAGGTTTCTGGTCTGGAGCCACCACATTTTGAGAACCACCACTACAATCCTTATTAAATGTTATATGTTTCTGTTGGGATATGAGGTGAAATGGACTTCAAACTGTTTAAAAACTTTACTTCCTGACAAGAGCTCACTGCAGCCTTAAATTCCCAGGCTTGAGCAGTCCTCCTGCCTCAGCCTCCCAAGTAACTGGGACTACAGGCGCGTGGCACCATGCCTAGCTAATTAAAAAAAATTTTTTTGTAGAGATAGTGGCTCGCTACATAGCCCAGGCTAGTCTTGAACTCCTGGGCTCAAGCAATTCTCCGGCTTCGGCCTCCCAAAGTACTGAGATTACACTGAAGATGGTTTTACCTCCTAGTAGAAATAAGCAGGTCAGTCTGCCAAGCTCCAGCACAGAACTCCCGGGGCCTATGTGCTTGGGTACATACACAGCAGCTTCTGCAGAAAACAGGTCTCTCATCTGTGGCTTAGCACTGTGTGGAGGAGGGCAGAGCTTCCACACAGGTGGGAACACATCCGGCTTGGCAATTGTTGTAACTGAATATTAGCCTCATGCCTTCTTCTCTTTATAGCAGTTGGATCCATCTTCAATCAGCATCACAGAACACAAACTCTCCAGCTCTTTTTAGGAAGTAAAGTTTTTAAACAGTTTGAAGTCCAATTCATCTCATATCTTAACGGAAACATACAACATTTAATAAGGATTGTAGTGGTGATTCTCAAAATGTGGTGGCTCCAGACCAGAAACCTTAGCATTGTTTGGGAACTTGCTAGAAGTTTCTACTTTAAATTTACTAAATCAGGGACTCTGGGATGGGACTCAGCAATCTGCTGTCACAAGTCCTCTGGGTGAGTCTGATATTCACTGAAACTTGAGAACCACTAATCCCAGGCAACGTTTCCGAACTTTTTGTGTGCCTAAGGATTGCATGGTGAGCTCGTCTGGGGTGTTACTGAACATCTTAATTTCTAACACTTATAAAAGCACACAAGCTAATGTGTGCCTTCTACACCAAAATATTTGTAAAAAAATTTGAAAAATATATGACCTTATTTTACAGAACCATTTACTGCTTAGAATCAAAGCTTATCAAAATTATTTGAAAAATTAGAAAAGAAATATGTTTTCTTAGTGACACCATTTTTTTAATTCTCTGTGGTCTTCCTTGTGATTAGATGAGTAATTTATAATTATCCAATGCATTTAATATACTTCAGAAAGGCAAAAAAGGTAAGTTTTCTTGTTGGAAAAAAATGACTGGTACAATTAACTACTATATGTGTTTATGTGTGTGCATACACTATATATGTATATGTATATTGGACATATATGTATATATTTGATCTTTTCATGTTACTGCTCGATATTAAACTATTTCTTCTTTTGTAGGAATTCTATGAAGTTGAACAATTTGCATTTTCTTAAATGTCTTATTTTACATGTTTTCATAGGCAAACAGCTTTTTAAATGCACTTTAGTAATTCACTGATATACACGATTGAATTTAGGTTATTTAACATTCCATGGGTGTTTTGTAATTCATAAAGTGAGAGTAGTGTGTTATTTAACACAATGCCACGTATGGCCATGGATAAACTGGTTGTTGCCATAAATCCTGAAAGAAATTTCTGGGAGAAAAACAATTTATATTACAATCCTCTTTGTTTTCCAAACACAAGAATAATTCAATTTTAAAACACCACTCAAGATGCCCAACCATTTCAAAGTAATTTACTTTCTATTTTTTTCCCTTGACTTTCAAACTCATTTTTTATACAAATTGTAAAGCATGGATTTTAAATAGGGAAAATATTGCTGATAGACATTTGTTTTGCTCAGGAGTTAAACTACTGCTGATTTCACTGCATTGAAAATGTTGAAGGAAATATGACTGAATATTTTCAGGAGACAGATTTTGTTTTGATTTTTGTTATATCATACGATCCTATTTCAGGTCTATAATTTTGACCACGCAACTAAAATTTACAGCTTCAAAGAATCTTCACTTTAGCAAATTGAAATGGCTTCAGAGTAAATTCACTTAAAATAACTCTCAGTTTGTATAGAGATATCTATATATCCATATATAATGTGTATTTTAAGGTATATTTCCATTCCTTTAAATGAATTCAAAACTGATTTTTAATGAAAATGATTCAAAAGTAACATTTATTGACAAAAACTTCTTTGATACGCATTTTATTTTTAAAAAATCTTTTCACCTAGGCATAACATTTAAAAATATTTCAAAAAGATTCAGATGGCACCATGAGAAAAAATAAAATTTGTTATCCTTTTGTTTACTCCATTCTTATGCTGCTATGGAAAAATATCCGAGACTGAGTAATTTATAAAGGAAAAAGGTTTAATTGACTCACAAGGGAGGCCTCAGGAAACTTACAATTATGGCAGAATGGGAAGCAAACATGTCCTTCTTCACATGGCAGCAGGAAGGAGGCTAATGAGTGCCCAGTGAAGGGGGAAGCCTGTTATAAAGCCATCAGATCTCATGAGAACTTGTGCACTATCATGAGAACAGGATGGGGGAAAATGCTCCCATGATTCAGTTATCTCCACCTGGTCCCTTTCATGACATGGGATTATGGGAACTACAAGATGAGATTTGCATAGGGACATAGCCAAACCATATAATTCTTCCCCTGGTTCCTCTCAAATTTCATGTCCTCACAATTCAAAACACAATCATGCCCTTCCAACAGTCTCCCAAAGTCTTAACTCATTTTAACATTAACTCAAAAGTTCAAGTCCAAAGTCTCATCTGAGGTAAGGCAAGTCCCTTCCACCTCTGAGCTTGCAAAATCAAAAGCAAGTTGGTTACTTCCTAGATACAATGTGGGTACAGGCATTGGGTAAATACACCTGTTCCAAATGGGAGAAAGTGGCCAAAACAAAGGAGCTACAGTCTCCATGCAAGTCTGAAATCCAACAGGGCAGTCATTAAACCTTAAGGTTCCAGAATGATCTCCTTTGACTCCATGTCTCACGTGCAGGTCTTGCTGATGCAAGAGGTGGGCTTCCATGGCCTTGGGCAGCTCTACTGCTGTGGCTTTGCAGGGCACAGCCCCCTCCTGGCTGCTTTCATGGGCTGGCATTGAGTGCCAGTGGCTCTTCCAGGTGCACAGTGCATGCTGTCATGGGGTCTGGAGGATGGTGGCCCTCTTCTCATGGTTCCACTAGGCAGTGCCCCACTGGAGACTCTGTTTGCAGGGTTCCAACTCCACATTTCCCTTCTATACTGCCCTAGCAGAAGTTCTCCATAGGGCTCTGCCTTTGCAGGAAACTTCTACCTGAACATCCAGGTGTCTCCATATATCTTCTGAAATACAGGCAGAGCTTTCCAAACCTCAATTCTTGACTTCTATGCACCCACTGGCTCAACAACACATGGAAGCTGCCAAGGCTTGGGGCTTGCATATTCTGATGCCATGGCCCAAGCTGTACCGTAGCCCCTTTTGACCATGGCTGGAGTGTCTGGGAAACAGGGCACCAAGTCCCTAGGCTGCACACAGCAGGAGGGGCTCTGGGTTGGGCCCTTGAAACCATATTTTCCTCCTAGGCCTCCAAGCCTGTGATGGTAGGATCTGCTGTGAAGTCTCTGACATGCTCTGGAGACACTTTTCCCATTGTGTTGATGATTAACATTCAGCTCCTTGTTACTTAGGCAAATTTCCATGGCTGGCTTGAATTTCTCCCCAGAAAATGGGTTGTTAATTTCTGTTGCATTGGCAGGCTGCAACTTTTCCAAACTTTTATGCTCTGCTGTTCTTGAATGCTTTGCAGCTTAGAAATTTCTTCTGCCAGATACCCTAAAATCATCTCTCTCAAGTTCAAAACTCCACAGATCTCTAGGGCAGGGACAAAATGCCACCAGTCTCTTTGCATAACGAGAGTGACCTTTACTCCAGTTCCCAATAAGTTCTCCATCTCCATCTGAGATCACCTCAGCTTGGACTTCATTGGTCCCTATCACTGTCAGCATTTTGGTCAAAGCCATTCAACAAGTCTCTAGGAAGTTCCAAACTTTCCCATATTTTCCTGTCTTCCGAGCCCTCCAAACTGTTCCAATCTCTGCCTCTTACCCAGTTCTAACGTTACTTCCACATTTTCAGTATCATTATAATAGCTGCACCTTATTTATGATACCAATTTACTGTATTAGTCCATTCTCATGCTTCTATAAAGATCTGCCCGGGACTGGGTAATTTACAAAGGAAAGAGATTTAATTGACTCACAGTTCTGCAGGACTGGGGAGGCTTTGGGAAACTTACAATCATGGCAGAAGGGGAAGCAAATACATCCTTCTTCACATGGTGGCAGGAAGGAAAAAAATGAATGCCCAGTGAAGGGGGAAGCCCTTTATAAAACCATCAGATCTCATGAGAGCTAACTCACTATCACGAGAACAGGGTGGGGAAACCACCCCCATGATTCAATTATCTCCACCTGGCTCCTCACATGACACATGGGGATTCAAACTAAGATTTGGGTGAGGACGCAGCCAAACGATATCACTCTGTTTATTAAATTGTTCATCTACAATTTTGAAGGAGCACTCTCTATTTGTCCTTATTTTTAAACTTTATAAAATTTTTATTTGAGGCTTTAGAGGGGGTATTATACTTTTATATTATGAATTTTTTGTTCTACCAAGAATATTTTATGTTGACATTTTTAATTGAAATATATGGCTCTATTTTCTTGTCTTAGAAAGTAAGATATACTGAACATATTTGAATCACATTCTGGTGACTAACAGATTTTTACAATTGTTCAGGATAATACTTGCATGTATTAGTATGAAAAAATTCTACAGTTGTACACAATGTCAGTGATTGTACTGGCTGTGTCTTTCCCCTAGAAGATGCCGGGGTGTGGTGGGGGAGGGGAAGAAGAAAAAGAAAACTTAATTTTTATGGTAAGAAATCGATTATTATTCTATCCTCATTTTAAATCATCAAGTAATAATAAGTATTAAACAATAATAAGTATTTACTCAATTCTTACTATGAACCAGATATTTGGAACATGGGAATGAAGCATAAATCATGTTCTTTAAACTAAAAGAACTTGGAGAAATGGTTGCAACAGCATGTGATAATGCAAATTATTTTTGGCTTTTATATTATTTTATAAATGGCCAATGAGCCAGGACAACAGTGAATTTCATAGGAGTTCATAAAATGGAAACACGAACTAAAATAGTTTACCAACACTTTGGGAGAAAATGGAAATTGAGTTAGAATTTGAAGAGGATCTTAGAAGATAGGTGATTTGGGAGGAAGTGAAAAGAAGGGATTTAAGCTGGTTCTGGGAAAAGAAAACAGCTTGAGTAAAGATGGAAATCAATGTTATTTTTATTTAGTAGAAGATAACAAATTTACCTTGACTGAAGCAGAGGACATGTGGAGCAATCACAGGAAAAAAAATAACTTTAGAGTTTAGGCCACATTGTAGAGCTGAAAGGCAAAAGAACTTGGACATTTACTTAACCATATTACAAGTCCTATAAAAACGTTTTACTTAGTAGGAGAAATTATACAAATGAATCAACCTATTCAATAATACATGAAAATGAAATGACTTTGTTTTTAATTGACACAGAAGTTTTCTATTAAGGTGATGAAGTGTTTGCACGTGTATGTGTGCATGTTCAAGTATGTTTGTGTGCATGTGCGTGCTGGAGTCATCATTTATCACAATAAAAGGTTGCAGCTACCCACCTAATTAGGCATGAAGCAAGCAAAGACTGGATAAGGTGATCTTTGTCTCACTTTGCTCCTGAGACATCTTTGTCTCCAGTACTAATCAGCAGTGACGCGTCAAGTCATCGTGAGTGACAATTACAGTCCTCTCATTACAGGAAATGATTGCACGACTAGGCAGATTGATGAGTGTATTGGTGTTCCCTAAGAAACTGAGCTCCTCCCCACCAGCCCTCTTCTTGACAACATTGCTGAATATTATTAAATACATATTTAAGGCAATTCAGGTAAAGCTTCTTCACTTGGCAAAACAGGTTATGATTGCTTAGAAATTTATTCTAAGAGCAAAATTTAACACATCTCCCTGAATTGTATCTTCATTCTGAGAGTCTGTGCTTTTCTGCAGTGCCTTTTCACCTTCAGTTTGTGCAACAGTACCTGTGATGGTGTGGATTAGGTGTTACATTTTGTTTAGACATGGAAAATAAAATAGGTAGACAAAGTATTTTGTTGAAGACTGGTTAGTTGGAAGCTGAGTGTCAGACTCATTTCATTTCATACCTTGCACTTCCAGTTGCAGATACCTTTAAATAAAACATAGTTCACTTCTTCCCACTACAGGCCAATGGATTGGCTCTAGCCCAGTGGTCCTCAAACTTGAGTGAGCATAGGAATCACCTGCCCTATACGCAAGGTTTCTCGTTCATTAGTTCTCCAGTGGGCCCCAGTTACTTAACATTTCTAGAAGGCTCCCAGGGGGTGCAGATGTTGATGCTGAAGCTGGGGGTCTGGAGACCAAGAACCACTGAAGCCTGTCTAAAGGGGTAACTTCTTATTGGTCACATTTCATTGCCCAACTGTTCAATTCCTTGATGTTCCCCAGAAGCTTTCTTGCATTCCAATCCTATATGATTTTGAGTTCTTTCTGGACACAGTCTGCTCTGTTATCTGAACAAACATTTTATCTGATGCTTTCCTTTGATTTTTCCAATCATAGTCTCATGGTCTATCACCATGAGACAGGGATTGCTTTAACTAGAGAAATGATACCAATACTGTTTGCTTAGATTGATTTTCTGATTTACTAGTATTCAGGCATTAATATGATCTGGTGCCTGCATTCTCAGTAACACCAATATTTGTAGAACCATTCTAAGTGTAACTTTGATCAAACTAATCAGCTTGGTATTTTTTTCATGGATGGTCCAGCTGTCAAAATACAGATGTGTTCATTAACCTAACGAAACTGTCCCAGTATGAACTATGCTGATTACTTTGACTAAAGTCATCATCAGATTGGTTCTTGGGATCCTTCTAGTCCAAACTGCTCACGCAGGGCCTAAAATAAAATGACTAAAAATCTGGCTATCTGGCTATCGCAAGTAGAACAATTGGAGGCTAAAAAGTAAAATATTATTCTTATTTAAACCATGAACATCATTAACATATTTATTCAAAAGTTCTTGTCCAACATCTGCAATGTGCCAAACACATTCTTCCAGGTGCAGGAAACACAGCAGTGAACTACAAAATGAAGTCTGAATTTGTAGAACTCATATTCTCAGGAAGGAGAAATGATAAACAGGGAAACATAAATAAACCTGCTACCTTCTGAAAGGTTAGATGCTATGATGAAAAAAAAAAGCAGGAAAATATGATACAATGACTGGGTGTGGAAGCTGATTTAGGTAGAATGATCTCTGCAGGTCTCCGTGAAAAAGGCATTCAGGTTGAGACTTGAATGAGGAGAAGTAGTCATTCATCTGTATCTCAGAGTAGGAAAGGTAATGGTAAGACTTGGAGTGATGGTGGAGGAAAAGCTTTTAAGAAGAAGAAATAGAAAGTTGCAAATGCCTTCAGCCAGAAAAATCTGGGACCTTGTTGGCTGTGGAATCATGGTTTGATTTTCTTCTAAGTACATGGAGAATCAGAGGTGACATAACTTGTTTTCTGCTTAAAAAAAAAACAACACTCTGACTAATGCATGTAGAGTGCATTGTAGGAGAGTAAGACTAGACCAGTTACAAGGCTATTTTATCAGGTCTGTTTTAGACATTGACCTTGAACTTGCAGCTGAAACTTTTTAAACTAAAATGTCTCTAAGTATTTCCACTAGCAGATCCTAAATTGAATACCAGGAATTTGGCTCCTGCTTTTAGATAAAACACTGTAAAAGGCATTCTGTCCGAGAAAGGAATTGCCATCTGCTGAGAAGTGACAATGAACTGGGATGGTACCAGTACATGTAGTGAGAAGTAGTGAGATTCAGGACCTATTCTGGAATTGTATTTGAAAAGGCTGTCTGAAAAAAAATAGGTTCACTGGGTATAGTGGGTGCTATTGGTGACCTGTCCAGACCCACTTTGCTGGCTGGAGAGTCATCCTGTAGTTGTTGGGAGTGCTGGCTGGCAAAAGCTTACAGCTGCCTCTGTCAATCACTCGTTTCCATCTGAACAACATTTTTGCCATTCCCCCCTCCTCCCATCCATCTTCTTTCATCCCCTTTCTCCATAAGGCAATGTTTCTGGAAGTGTGGTCCTGGAAAGAGTATCATCAATATCACTTAGTAACATGTTAATACTATAACTGACAACCGGAACAAATATGAGATATATCAAACAGAAAAATACAAAGATTAAAGTTTGAGGATATTCCAGAAATGACAATTTTTGCGCATATATATATATATATACATATATATCAATGAAACTATTTTAATGACCATAAAAAGTATTGCATTGTAAAGAAAATTTAGTTTTATACAATCAAATTATCAAAACTTATCATTGAATGTGTACAGTAACTGTTAATGCCTTAAATACCATTGCTTCCTTTCAAACATAATTTCTTGTTTTTCCTTTAGTCATGAGTTTAGTAAGGGAAAGTAAATCTCACATGATTATTTTTAGAAACATATATACATAGTAGGAGAGCAGAGACAGAGCTTTACTATAAGGTATTGTTCACTTGATTATGGAGGCTGAGAAGTCCCATGACACACTGTCTTCAAGTTGGAGACCTGGAAAGCTATTCATTTAGTCTGAAGGCCTGAGAATCAGGAACATTGAGGTAGGAGATTGATGTACCAACTTGTCAGTCAGGTAGAAAGAATCTTCAACCTTCTTACTTCTTTTTGTTCTATTAAGGCCCTTAATGGATTAGATGATGCTAGCCCAATTGGGGAGGGTCATCTGCTCACTCTCTCCAATTCAAATGCTAAGCTCTTCTGGAAACACCCTCATAGACACCCTGAAATAATGTTTAACCAAGTTTGTGTGCATCACATGGCCTAGTTGAGCTGACACATAAAATTAACCATCACTCTTACTTAATCAGAAATTCTGGAGATGATGGGGTCCAGGACTTTGTGTTCTAACAAGCCCTCCAGGTGATTTTGATGCATGCTCAAGTTGAGAACCATTGAAATAGAGTGGTCCCTAATAAGTTATTTGAACAAAAATCTCCTTTCATGCTTTCCTAACAGGGACCTGCAACCTAGGATCCAGGAATGAAGGAAAAAAATAATTGAGGGTAATTCCTAGGTTTTTGTCTTTAGCATCTGGCTTAGTTTCACTAGCTGAGATGAGAAAAACTTGAAGAGAAGCAAGTTCGGAGAAATCGATCATTCTATTTTGAACTTGGTTACTAATTTAGGTGCTTTTTAGATTTCCCAGTGGGAATGTCAAGTAGCTAATCAGATGAAGTCTGGTATTCATGTGTAAGGTCAGGATTTGAGTTATAAATGTTACAGCCTTTACTGTATGGATAGTAAGATTTAGGAAGAGGTCCTAGAGAAAGAAAAGTGTATAGCAAGAACTTGTATCTTTTTTTGCATATATTTGAAACAAATTATTAGTTAAATGTATTAAAAATACAACTAGACTGTGTTTATGCAAAGGATTAACAAGATTTTGCTAATTACTAAAGAATTCAAGGATGATTTAGCTTTAAGGGTATATGAATAATTTTTTTACCTTTGTTACCTGCTAAGTAGAGAAGCCTTCTTCCAGAAGATGACATCTATACCTACCTATATTTGGATGCTAGAGAAGCAGAACCTGGTGAAAGCTCAAGGCAGGTCTGATCCTTGCATCAAGCAGAGAAATACAAAGATTGAAGTTTAAAGATACCCTAGAAATGACCATTTTTGCACAAAATTATTTTAATATAAAAAGTACTGCATTGTAAAGAAAAACATAATTTTACACAAATTATTAAAACTCATAATTAAATGTGTGCAATAACTCTTAATGCCTTAAACCCCGTTGTTTCCTTTCAAACATAATTTTGTATTTTTCCTTTACAAGTGAAAGTAAATCTCACATCATTATTTTTAAAAACATATATTGTATTCAGCATCTTTTCATCACTCACTGCCTATTAAAACCCCACTAACAATTAAACACATGCTGGTCATAATTGTGTCAACTGCTTATGATGCCAAATTTAACCCAGTTGTCAGGAGCAGATTGCTAGAACACATATTAAATATTTTCCTATTATTTGAGGACTAGCACCAGAAAAGAACAGGAAATATGTAGGGAAGAGGGGACCCACTGTGGGCTGACTCATTTTTCAGGGGGTGAGTTTTTATATACAACTTTAATCCTCCTTAGAAAATTATTAGCATGATATAGTATGATGCTGATAAACATCGCTTTTTTGAAGTCAGACGTAATGACTTAGGTCTACTATCTACCAATTTTATGACCCTAGGCAAGAGAATTGATCTCTCTTTGCCCAATTTTCTTGTCAATAATGTGAACACCCCATAGGGTCATTGTGAGAATTAATCCACATAACAGAGACAAAATACATAGAATATTGCTTGGAATATAGGACTGGTCAGATAACATCCTCACCTCCATATCTACTGTGCCCAATCTCCTCTGGGCTTCAGGAATGCCTAGTTAGGCAAATGCATCATTAGATGAACCAGTGTCTGTTAAGAAGGATGATTGATTGATAGATAGGTAGATACATAGATAGGCAGACAGACAGACAGACAGATAGATAGATATAGATGTGAGCTGGGCCCTGGGTAAGCACTCTTTAAGAGGGTTAACCTCCATTTAGGAAAATCATCTTTACCTTGGTCTCATTAATACATGATCCTCTTGTATGTTTTCCACACACATAGTAATTGGCCTTGTAACTCCAGTATTACCATGTGTTAAATTCCAAAGGAGTTTGCAACCATTTCCTCAGTGACTCATCATGGTATACATTATTTTATTCATTTATCTAATATATGTTGAGGTCATACCATATGCTGGAAATCATGCTGGATTATGTAGATCAGTATTATCTGTGAGTTACAAAAAAAGAAGTGACACAAATACATATGAACTAGTACAAAGATAAAGAGATCTATGTAGAGTTAAAACTAAAAGTCATTCTCTAAAGACTGACTATATTGCTTCTTTTATTCATGACCAGTCTTGTGAACTTAGAGAAAGGTAGGGCTTCCTCTTTGATGTTTGTCACCCAGTGATGTCAATGAGTGAAGATCTGATTTTGACCATCAAAAGTCTCTGGACAAGAAGTTCTGAATGAATGGCTCTGGATTTGTGCTTTATAGTCAGTATAGTCCATGAAACAACTATGGGAAATATTCTTTGGTAAAGGAAGGAGAAGAATTTGCCATTAAAGATAGGCAGTTTTCTGCCTAACACAATGCAAAGACCTGTCCAAGAGGTATTCATCTGTGCTAACATCTGACCTCCGTCTTGACAAGATGTCAGTGAAAAATGAACTCACTGAGATGCATTTCAGATCCCTTGGGAAAAGACAGACAGAGAGAGGACAAAACATAAGGTTTAAAAGCAGCCCTTAGGAGAGATCTGAGAACAATTTCCAAGAATATTTTCCCATGTGTTACCAGGAAAAGGCAATACATCTTAAAGAAGACTGAGCTGCCCAATCAGCTTACTTCACTTCAGTGAACTCCTCCCTGAGACCCCTGTAGCTACTCTCAAAGCTTTATATTGACACAATTTAAAATGTGAAAGATAGTAAAAGTTAATGTAATTATCCCACTGGATGATCTCAGCAATTCTCGATCAAAGAGAAAAAGCCATCATAATGCAATGCCTAGCAATGGCTCAAAAGCACAGCCATGGCCCCCCTGAGAGGATAATAATGATCCCAATAGCAATACAACCAGATCTCTTAGGAAAAAGACCATGAAAACCTCTAAACAATTAGAGGCTGCAAACCTGGCACCAGCATCAGGTAAGGCACAGCCTCCTGAAAACAGTGGGAGGCCTCAGGGATCATGCCCAAGTTCAAGGTACCATGTAAAAGATTGCTCCTCCATCATAGGGCATAGAATAGAGCCATGAACATTAACTCTTTAATAGAAGTTTTAGAAGAAAAACTTCAGGCAAATTAAATTTAACAGCATTTATTTGAGTAAAGATCAAGTCATGGATCAGGGCACACTCAGAAACTGAACAAGGTTTAGAAAGCTCTGCTTCAGCAGCCTGAGAAGTCAAGTACAGACATTACTTGATTGGCTACTGCTAGGTATTTACCTTATTTGTGTGTGATCTGGGGGAAAGTCCCTCCTTAGAGGTTAGTTTGTTGTTTCTGATTGATTATACTTAAGTTTCCTTTTACTGTGTACATGGAGCTTCAGTGTGCTTATGTAAGGATCCAAGGCACTGGGGTTGCCTCAGTCTAATGTTCTTCCAGTTTTTTGTTTAATAGAAGCAATGGTAAATGGCATAGTTAACATCTATTTCAGTTTTCCTTTACAAGGATTTCATTGATTTCCAGCAGTTAATACATTCCTCTACACTATGAACTCCTCTCACAGGAAGCATGGACCAAAGAAAAGTACCGTTAAATTTCTCCTTATGGGCTACAGTACTATGAAAGGGAAAGAGTTTAATGAAGAAGTTCTGAGCCTCAAGGAATTCAGCTTCAGCCAGGCATGGTGGCACATGCCTGTAATCCCTGCACTTTGGGAAGCTGACGCAGGCAGATTTCATGAGCTCAGGAGTTCCAGACGAGCCCGGGCAACATGGCGAATGCTTTCTCCACAAAAATACAGAAATTAGCCAGGCACGGTGGTGCCAAAATGTATTGTCAGCTACTGGGGAGTCTGAGGTAGGAGGATTGCTTGAGCCAGAAGGCTGAGGCTGCAGTGAGCTGAAATTGAGTCACTACACTACAGCCTGGGCAAAAGATTGAGACCCTGTCTCAAAGAGAAAAAAAAAATTCAGATTTAACTGCTTCCTCCTCCTCTTCTATCTCCCCCTTCTGCCACTCCAAACACACACACACACACACACACACACACACACACACACACACACTTGGGGATACTTGTCTTGGTGTCTCTCGCAGAGATTGGGAGCTTTCAGAAATGGTGTGTCAGGTCTGACCCTATTCTTTTTAAACTAAGAAAAAGGAGAATGTTGATGACTGAGCTTCAACTGGAAAAAGTAGTGGTGGAGAAAGACTTCCAACAGGAGTTCAATAACCATGGAGATTATGTGATGGATATTCACCAGAAATCTGTGCAAGAAGTGGATGGTTCAGGCAGGGGGCGAGCACATGGAGCTGGGGCTGTCAGTGCAAATATAGGGAATATTTCATGGATTCAGACTCACTGTGCAGTAAGAAGTCAGCCTGCCTGACTTCAATATGTAAGTGTTATGTTGTGGAGTCCTGACCTTACAGGTAGAATGAATCCATTTTTAAATGGAACGCTTTCTACTGAGATGGGCTTTCAATTTGGAGCCCGTTGTTATTCTCTTTTCGTCTATTCCTTATGTAAAATCCCTTCCTGTAACATACACCTAGAAACATGTTTTATATTCTCAATTTAGACTTGGTTTGAAAGTTTTGCTACTTAGCCATTTTCTTCTTGTATTAATCTCTGTGTTTCACACTTATATTTGAATTTACATACCCAGAAGTTAAGGTCAAAATGTTGGACAATCTGTAAAGCATAAGCACTGACCCATTAGAATCAGCATCAGCCATTGTGTTGGAGTAGAATCTGGAAACCACCTTGACCCATTGGTTGCTGGATTTTCAGGTGGCTCATGGAGGGATGAGTGTGCTTGAACATCACAACACTCAAGGGCTCAGAACGGTAGCTATCTGATCATCAGAACAAATATATTTCATTATTTTAGCAAACAGCATAATAATGATGCATTAAGTTACTCAGTTGGAAATCATAAAGCCATCAAACTTTGCATCTGCTAGCCAAACGACGGTTCTATGAGTATATAAAGATCGTACCATCACTTCGTCTCTGTAACCACGTTCCCTCCCTCCAAGACACATACTCCCAATTGGGTCAATTCTTCAATTGAGACTAAAAATACAAAAAGAAAAAGCTTGATACATCCTCTGACTATTAGTTTCCTGGTTAGACCATTGGATCAAGGTTTATTACTCCAACTACAAAACAGTTCCTTCCACTGGCTAGTGTGAAGCAATCTGAAAGAGACGTACCCTAGTTGAATGGTATAACTTAAGGATTTATTAGCCTTGTAACTTTGAGTAGGTCACTTACCATTTCTCTCATCTGTAAAATATGAGTAGGATATAGTAATCTCTGGTTTCTCCAGTTTTGGTATTTTGAATCTAGTTGTATGAATTGACATCAGTTTGTGCCTATTGATTATTTAAGTCTGATAAATTACCTGGACATAGTAAAACCAGGAAGGTAGCTTTTATTCTGTACTTCAGAGGAAAAACAGGAAAAGGTTCATTGATTTGACTTTTCTAATTTTTTTTTTTTTTTTTTTTTGAGAAAGATTCTCACTCTGTTGCCCAGGCTGGAGTGCAGTGGTGCAATCTCAGCTCACTGCAACCTCCGCCTCCCAGGTTCGATAGATTCTCCTGCCCCAGCCTCCGGAGTGCTGAGATAACAGGCATCTGCCACCATGCCCAGCTATTTTATATATATATTTGGTAAAGATGGGGTTTTGCCATGTTGGCCAGGCTAGTCTCAAACTTCTGACCCCAGGTGATTTGCCCACCTCGGCCTCCCAAAGTGTTGGGATTACAGGCGTGTGCTACCATGCCCGGCCGACTTTTCTAATGTTTTTGATTTTTACTTCTCATCACCAAATTAATTTATGTCAGTAAGTAGTTACTTTTGGGACAAAGGACACACATTTTGGTGGTTTAAAATAATGCATTTTGGAATCATATCAAACTTTCGTATTTTTTTCCCATAGAATTATTTGGATTTTTATTTACTTATATTTACTTAATGTAAGTAATTGGAGTAATGGCTTTGGAGTTTCGCATGTTTATTTACAGTTGTCTTCATATATTTTATCCATTAAAATTTATCCTGTCTTATTGATTGTAGTCAGGCTCTGACTTTACTAATATTTTTTCACATAACTATCCAGTTGACCCAACAACATTTATGGAATTATCCATCTTTCTCTAATGGTTTAAGATAAGACATATTTTTCCATTTATGTTAAGTGATTTTTAGACTTTTAATTCAGTTCCATTTATCCATGTATTCGTGTTCAAATACCTTGTTTGGCAACTTAGTGTAATCTCAGCACATTCAGCAACTTCTTTATGATTCAGTTTTCTTATTTTTAAAAAGGCAGCATTGACAGTGTGTACCTCAGATGTTGCAAACATGAAATAAAATAATGCCCATCTAAACTCTCAGAAAATCTTAGATATTACTGAGCCTGAAACACTATTATTGTATTTTCTTCTTCCTGCTGCTGAATTCCTTTTATATTTTGCAATCAGTTTCAACCTACTCTGTGTGTGTGTGTGTGTGTTCGTTCTAGGAGGTATGTAAACAGATTCACTAAGTTGAAAATCATATAGTTGGGAAAAGGCTTTCTCAGGTTTTTCTAATTCCCAGAATTAGTACTGTCCAGCAGGAACCTTTATTCTACATAGTATCCTTTCTACTGGACTGCTGTTTCCATCTGCCCTAGGTCATGCCTACCTCAGTTAATTATGTGTTGTTTCCCCTTGAAAATCAGCAGGAATGCCTTTCCTGCTTAAAACAAAGACTGATTCCCTGCCAGTCTCTTTCACAAACCTTGCCAACAGTGGATGGAATTGATCAGTTTTGTTTCTCCTTCTCTAACTCTACAGGGAAAACTTTACTCATAATCATGGATGGGAATAGTGCCCCTAGCTGAGCAGCTGAGATTAAATCCAGCAACTGTTAACCTGGTATAGGGCAAGAAGAGAGTATTGGAAACAACAAAACACAAAAATTCACAGGCAATATAGCATCTTTTGTACCTATTTCCAAAACAGAATCTCAGCTTTGTTTTAATAAAGCATCATTGGCAACAGAATATGCCCCGAGCACCAAAGTTCATAAAAAGTAGCCTTTATAACATGATTATTTATTAGAATGCTTCTTCATTTTTTAGCACAGAAAATCTAGCATACAATTTCATAACAGACAAAGGAGCCAAAGGGACATAGATTTCTTATGTACTAGCTAGTGAAATGAACTTTTGATTTCAGTGTTCACATTTAGGAGGCTTAGCAGAGAGAGTACATGGGCTTTTCCACTTTACTGGATTTTGGAGGTAAAAAAGAAAAACATCCAAGCCCAGAAATAATGTCTTATAAGCCACGACAAAAATGCCCCAGGTCATGAGAGAAAACTATTGCTTCTGGGTAAAATAAAATTGGAAGCAAAGAGAACTAGAGGTTACAGCACCTTGATAGTTGGTGGGGTTCGTATGATTTTGAGTCTTCAAATCAGTTTTGGATGGTCAAGAAGTATTTTTTTACCATCCCGAGGCTGTTAAGCTACAGATTTATTTCTGCATTTCTACTTATACCCTATGAAAGTAGCTCTAACATCATGTGCCCAAGGGCAGAGCTTAAAGGAATATTTTCTGTGGAAGTGGAATAATCAGTCAAAATTTGGAATCACTCCCAGTTCTTCGGAAGTAAAGTTAATTAATCTGGAAGCACATCGTTTGTGTATAAGAAATTCAAGAGCAGCATAATGAGTTCAGCAATTAGCTTTAACTTTTCGGAAACATTTCTCAGAAATATATGCATTGAAGTCTCTCCCCCAACTGTATTTTTAACTGGTGTATTACAGCTGATTTTTAAACATGCCATCCCATTGGTTGATCTTGTCATAGAGGGAAAAATCCATTATTAGCTCTGCTTGTACAGTAAAGTTCTGCTTTATTATGTAATCTCATTTCTGATTTACTATTTGCTCTAAGTGAACGTATGACTACAATGTGTAATGAACATTGTGTAGCATCTTGAAAAGACAAAGATTAATGCCTCCTTGACAGTTTTTTTCCCCACTTATTCCTTGGGGAACACCTATTCTACTTGTCCTGTAACTGGAATTACACATTCACCCCCCAGTAATTTTTATAATGATTTCACCAAAGAACTTGAATAAAAGTAGTTCAATAAATGACACTGTAATACATATACTTTGGAGTCCTATTGTGTTTTTCTAAGAAAATGTAAAATCATATTTAGGGTCAGATTTTATTTTATGTGTTATTGAATGCATTGTAAATCTAGAGGGCTGTTTAACCAGGTTCCGTCAGGTAAATTAATTACCACCACAACTGGGTTTAATTTGTCTTTTTATCTTTTCTGTATTAATAAAGTCAGTGTTTTACAGCTTCGATATTACCTTTTTGAAAGTTCTTATGTTTCTATTAATGAACAATTAAACGGTATTTGTATTCTTCAAAATTGCTAAAAAGTCAGTAAGTAGATAATTATAATTAATAACACATTCATAGTCTACCAGTATCTTACGATGTATACTTGTCTTTTTCTTCAAAGTGAGGTGACCTCACCAAAATATTCTTCACAGTAGGTTGAGAATAGAATTTGAAACTTACAATATTTTTAGCTCTTTTAAGATTATGTTGCTCTATTTTATCCTATTTTTGTATCTCATTCATGGATCATTCTTGGTGTTTATTCAATTTTAGTCAAATTTATTAAATATGATACACATTTTCTTAAAAGTGTTTAAGACTTACTCCAGAAAATAGTTTGTCATAAAGCGAAAGAGTTTTTCAGACAATAGAATTCCCAAACAGCCTACTTAATTCTGTTTGTGAATGACTTGAGGCATCACATGAAAACTGCAATAAACCACAGTCTCCATCACTCCCTTTTCTTTCATACTGAGTTTGTAATCTCTGGCCTCCAGAAAAATATTTGGTTAAAAATCTAGTCAAAAAGTTTGTATGTTGTTTCCCTTTGGGTTATTCCATTTATCATTTCCTGAAAACCAAAATTCCCTTAGCCCTCCTAGTCTGCTCTTCTTTTCCAAACAAATAGCAAATTGAGTTTAAGAAGGAGCCTGAAATGAACAATGTCAAGTCTAATTCTGAAGCTCAGCTAAAGCTAAATAGACATGCTAGAAGAGTAGCATCCATCTGAAATATAATTATTGAGCACCTTTTCCATGCTAGACCTTATTCTAGCTGCTGGATATTGAAAGAAATGTAAATTTCAAAATTATGGACAAGGATATGGGAATTGCTGTTTAAACAACCTTTACTGCAATTATGATCTTACCAGTGGGTTTTGACCAGACACCAGATAATCATCTTATAAGTTGAGACAGGTGATACTTCACTAACTTACTGTGGATAGAACATTGAATATAGCTTTATATACATGAAACATACATATAACACAAGCACACATCCTTCAGCTATTCAAAATAGATTTTATTTTTCCAAATTTCAATAGCAATTCTAGTACAAGTATAATACAAGTTTAACTTAAAATTGGCATCCTATCTAAAAGGCTGAATTATAAAAATAAATTTTGGTAACATCTTCAGTTTATCTTACTAGGCTTAAAGGCATATCAAGAGAAGAAATAAAAATCAATGTATTTTATTTCTAGGATTGGTACTATTATTGACACAAGGATATTGCATCAATATACTCTCTAGCTATCATTTTTATTTTTTGCATATTACTTTTTAAGGGTGGCCTGTGAAAGCAACACGAGATTCCCAAATTATAGACTTAAAGGTTTACTTTAAAAAGATGAGATGATTGTTATTTAACTTTCATCCATCTGTTTCTCTTTAAAAAACTGCATTTGCAGCAAATCAAGAGTAACACGATTTTGAAAACTGAAAAACAAAAAACAAAATATCTGAGCAGCCAATATACTTTAGGATAATTTTCTAATGTTCTATGAAAATAGGTAAATCAATACAAGGTGAAAATGTTTTGTTTATTTCTAGAGATGTTGATTATGTATCAAACCCAGTTTGTCCATGAATGTTAAATAGACACTTACCAAGTGTCTATTTGGTTAAAATTTGGTTAAAATTTATTTTAACCGAAGAATTCAGGAGACATCAGGTTATTATTTTTATGTAGTTACAGTGCTTAGATGGGCATTTGTTGAACACTGGAAACTTCTTATTCTCCAAGCCACATAAATAACAGGCATATGAACATTCAGATAATATGGATGATAGTTGCCATTGTTGAAAAATCAGCATTTATTAAATTCTTACTATGGAAATTACATATTTAGTATCTCATTTGGTCTACCCAGCTGCAGTATGAAGCAGGTACTGTTAGTGGTTCCAGCTAATAAGTAAGTGATTATAGAAATGAGTAGAGGTTATTTTGGCGATTTTTCTATAGTTAAAATTTCTACCTCTTGACATAATCCATTCATTTTCCCCCAAAGTTTCTGCCTTGCTTTCCTCATTTTATAATATAATTTAGCTTGATTTTTATATTAATTGTTCAATTCCACTCCTAAGATCAAATGTTAGGGTGGGACAACGAGACACAGTGACAGGGAGTTTGAATAGAGACAAAAGCCCTTGGAGGGGAGAGTATTTAATTTGCGAATCTCATGTTGCTTTCACAGGCCACAAAGCAGATGGTCAGGTTCAGAAGTTTAGTGCCTGGCACAGAGCTGGGCACAGGATAAATCTTCTGTAAGCCATTTCAAATGAAGAAGTGAATAACCAAATAGAAGAAGTCGTAAGACCATCCTGTCTCAAAATAGTTGGAAAGCAGGCTGAAGGAGGCAACATTAGTTTCTGTTCATTACATGTTTGTTACAATACAGCGTATTGACCAACTTTTCATACTACATTAAATTTCACAACCATTTTATGAAACGGTACACTTTTCAGGTGTGAAACTAGCAGAAAAACCAGATGTTCTGATTTCATCAGGAAAACCAAATAGATGGATTTAATCCATGGTAGAGGTGAGGTTGGGAGGTCTCCAATGATGCTGTCACGATTTCTCTGTTCTCTGTTTACCTCCAGGAATCTGGATGATTGACACAGGAAACAAGTAATTTGCACACAATAGTAAGTGGCAGGACTCTGAGGTCCTGGAAACAGAGTGTCTGTCTAATGTTTCACTACTTCAGGCTCTCACTGTTCCTAGGTCAGGGACCAAGACCACAGGTCTTGTGAGCAGATAGGGTAGAGATAACCCAACATGCAAAAATGATGATTTTTACAACTGATGAGCAAGATGTCGCAGACAGATGAAGCCTGCCTGCCTAACTTCGGGGTAGGAGTCCCAGCCTTCAGGGTTTTGTGTAAATGAGGAGAGGCAGGAGTCATAGTTGATATTCAAAGCACTACCAGCAAAGAATTTTGGTCTCAATTCCCACTCTACAGATCATTAGCCACTCAGTTTTTGGCAAATAGCTTTTCTTGACTTCAGTTTACTGGTTTCTTCAACTGTAAAGTAGGAATGTTGAACATTAGGCTATATGGCAGAATGAATTTTAATAGATGTCATAAGTATAGATGAGGCTATTTTATCTGCTTGATGTCTGTAATGCCACATCCCAGACCACTGGAAAGCACAGTTAACACTGCAAATATACAAGCAGTTTTGACTTCTTTTGATTCTATTTTGCATCATGAAGGCAAAGTATAACCTCTCATTTATTCAAGGCCCATTTATTTTTTTTTATTCAGTGATTGGGTAAATGCAGATAGTTTCTAAAATGCCTTTCTAATTATTGGAGGAATTATTTGAAGGTTTGGCTGGGTATTTCTGTGAGACGAGATGGGGAAGATGGAGATAGAGGAATTAATATTTCTCAGGTTTATGAAAAATTCTAAATGAAGAGTAAACCTACCTTAAAGTAAACCTACCAGGAGTAAACCTACCATGAAGATTGTGTGGACTTCCCTCTCTCCATGTTTTCCTCTTAGATAAAAAAATATTTTGAAAGTAAGTATCAAATCATTTAATAATTAACCAGGCATCCTTCATCTAAAATAGTTGATTTACTTGCTAGACTCACATGCACCCTAGACATGCCACAGGTAACTATTCTTTTCTGTTTTTAACTGACTGTGAGCTTGAGAAAATAGAATCGCCTTGTAAGCACTTGCTTGTACAGAAGTTGTTTATTAGTTATCCATCACAGAAAGCCCGCCAGCAGGGTTTGGGGCTATATGTAATTCCAGAAAAGAAATCTTTGGTGTCTTCATATCCAAAGGTGTTTCCACTGACCCATTAACATTGGGCATGCCTTCAGAGAGGCCTCCCAAGGACTGACTGTGTCTGTGTTTGTCAGAGAAGAGATAATTGGCCCCCACAGGAATGAGAGCCATGACCTGAGCTTCCTAAGTGAAACTGTCAGAAAAGCTTCCAGGGTCAGACCTGCAGTCTAAGCAGCCTCTACACTCTGTTGCTGACAGTGGAATCAAGAGTTATGTTGCATAAAGTCCTTGAAACCAGGTGAACCACAAGTTCTGGGTGTCTTCGGCTTCTTGTAACACTATAGGGAGCTCTTGTGTGAATAGCCTAACCATCCTCATCTGTTCTCAGTTCTCCTGTCTCCCAGGTTCTAGTGCTTTCCAGCCTCCCGATCAGTCCCCACTATTTCCAGTTTCTATTTACTTTTTCTCCTTATCCCAAGTTTTCATTTCTACTTAGAGCATCTTCAACAAAGTATGGCACTTCCAATAATTTGATCTGAATGCGGAGTAAGACTTAGGGTAAAAGAGTAGATTGTTTTGACATTACTTATTTTCTCCCTGTATTTTCTATATTCACAGATGTAATAGTAAACAAAACGTCTTAGGTTTCCGTATAGCTTTATAAGGTTTTAAAATGCTGTTTTAATTAATAACATAATGCCGTATTTTGTCGATAAGGACATGACCGTGATGTGGTACAAAGACTACACACATACTTTGGAAACAATAGTTGCAAGTTCACTTCTAGCTTTACCAAGTATTTGATACCAGAGAGAAAGGCAAAATGCTCATGATCCACTCTAGCTTCAGTTTTCTTATTTGTAAAATAGAAATAATCACTTGTACCTTGCACAGTTAAAGTTAATAAGCCTGAGCAATGTGATATTGTTAGAGGGGCATCTACATAATCTGCCCAAATGGTCATAAGGATGGTGACAGGTGACTTAAAACATTAGCGTATAAATTCTTTTTTTTTTTTTTTTTTTGAGATGGAGTTTTGCTCTTGTTGCCCAGACTGGAGTACAATGGTGCGATTTCGGCTCACTGCAACCTCTGCTTCCTGGGTTCATGCAGTTCTCCTGCCTCAGCTTCCTAAGTAGCTGGGATTACAGGCACGTGCCACCATGCTCGGCTGATTTTTTATTTTTAGTAGAGACGGGGTTTTGCCATGTTGGCCAGGTTGGTTTTGAAACCCTGACCTCAGGTGATCCACCTGCCTCGGCCTCCCAAAGTGCTGGGATTACAGGCGTGAGCCACCGCGCCCCGCCATTAGAGTCTAAATTCTTATGGTGGCTTGTTTAATAATGAATAAAGGTGATTATGATTCAATTCAAATAACACAACTCCTTGTTTAAATAATTTAAGTCAATGTCTGTTAGAAATACAGTTGCATGCCTTGAATAAGTAAGTTAATTTAAATACGTGTGTGTATGTATATGTGAATATAGATAGATAATTTCATTATTCTATTTATGAAGATGTCTTTTTAAGATGTTTATGGAACTTAAGATGATAGAATTACTCTTCATAGCTAATTAAGAGAGCAAGGCCGGGCGCGGTGGCTCACGCCTGTAATCTCAGCACTTTGGGAGGCCGAGGCGGGCGTTTCACGAGGTCAGGAGATCAAGACCATCCTGGCTAACACGGTGAAACACCGTCTCTACTAAAAAATACAAAAAAATAGCCGGGCGTGGTGGCGGGCACCTGTAGTTCCAGCTACTCCGGAAGCTGAGGCTGGAGGATGGCGTGAACCCGGGAGGCGGAGCTTGCAGTGAGCCGGGATTGCGCCACTGCACTCCAGCCTGGGCGACAGAGCAAGACTCCATCTCAAAAAAAAAAAAAAAAAAGAAAACAAAATGGCAATATATATTATGAATTCACTACAACTTTTAATTAGAATTTTGTTAGTCATAATGGAATCTTTATATTCTTGAAAAATGATCTGAAACGTCTGTTTTTTGAAAAGCATGTTAATAGCTTTGTTACAATAGTCAGCATGCATATTGATTTAACGACTCCTTTGCATGACTCTAAAACATGCTCCATGTACGCACCAGAGTTCCCTCCTTGGCCCACAAATTAGAAGTAACTGTTATACAACAAATTAGGTATGAATTTTCAATATGAAATTCCAGTGCTCCTTGACAATTCTTTTTCTCTAGGCTATGAGTGTGGGTCTCAGCTTTAAGCTGATGGGTTAAATTCTATATGTATAAGCAGATCCACATTCTCTTCTTTTAGCTTTTCTGCTTCATAAGTATTTTGCTGTTTAACTGATCCATCACCATTACATGTGGTTTACTTTTCCATTTTGGAAAAAAAATGGTAAAAAAATAATATCATGTATATTCCTTCTTAAATAGATTCAATACTCTGGTAAAAACAAACACTAAGTAAATGCCTAATGGCGTGAATCTGAGAGGAGAGTGCTTTTAGTAAATTCAGGCTGCAGACATGTTTGGGTAACATTTTGCTATCCTTGCTCTAAAGATACATGCTAATGGATGGGCAAGAGTAGCATTAATGAGCTCACTCCATTAAATTAGTTCTTTTTTTCTTGTTAAATATCCAAAAGAGAAAGATGGTCCACTTAACTAGGGAAAAAAAGTTTCATTTTAGTGCAGTAGAAAATATGATGCATATTTTCTTTCTAATTTAATTTCTAACCATTAAGATTCAATTGTACAAATGACCCACTGAAGCACTTGGAGAGATTAGAAAACTATAAACTGAATGTCATTTGAATTTGGCTGTCTAGACACCATGATGTTATATAGGGTAATTCGAATTTAACATCATATTTTTATGAGGCCACCAAGATAAGCCCAGTGACTTCTGTGAATAATCACTAATGAGGCCCTCAAATGGAATGTGAGAATTGATCTCTTCTCTGGTGGTTGTTTTTATTAAACACCATATTGGCCAACCCTTCCAATCACTGTGATTTGAACTTTTGTTTGAATAGTCAAGTTTTCTCTTGGAATTGTAGAAAAAGGTCGCTGTCAGTCTGTGGGCTGAGGAAAAAGGATTACAGCTCTAATGAGCCAAATCTGTGCAAATGAGAAAATAATAATCTCCTCATAATTAGAACTCCCTTTTTAAACTAACTGTTGGTCGTGAGTTTTTCAAAAGAAGAAAAATCATTTCATTATTTGGTTAAAAGAATATTTGGAAATTAATGCCACTGGAAAGGGGGAATTAAAATGACTTCAGCTCGTTTACCCAAATATGTTCATTGCTGGAACCTCATCCTGATTTTCTAGTCAAAACAATTATTGTTGTTTTCCATGAAGTTTAGATAGCGAGAATCATGCATTGTCTGTTCATGCAGTAGTTGACATTTACTGCATACAGCAATCACTTTCAGTCTTTCTGAAGACTGCGCTGTAGGAAGGAAGGCTAGCACGCCCATTTTACAGATGGAGAAATGGAGTATTGCTTTCTCAAGCCTCAAAGAAATTCTTGAAATGGTATTAGAAATCAGGACTGTCAGCTCCCATGCTCAATTTGTAGATCATTGTAAGCAGCAGCAGCAGCAGTAACAGCAGTACTGGTAGAGTAAATCGAGAGGAGAAAGCATTTCAACAATTCCAGCAGTACTCAGTTAGGAGGAGATTTTATTTGGAACTCACAACACACAGAAGCATGTGTCTACTTGGTTGTGGGTGGGTGCTCAGGACTGCCCTAGGATATTAAGACATATTACTTTAGTAGAGGCATACAATTCTCCCAGGCTTTCCTAGCTCCTTTTTTGAGCTTCTCCTGGCATTGAAGGGTCTTCTGGGTCCCCCGTGTATCTGCAACCTGACCTTTCTGAGGCTTGAAACCAAGAGAGTTTAGAAGCCAACCTGTAATTAAATAGCCATGTGGAAAACCATGCTGGAAAAGGCAACCCCATGGGGGAGTTCAAACTGAAAGGAAAAACAGTGAAGGTATAAGATGTGAGCCTTCTTGTATCCCTTCTGTGGAATGTCACATCACAGTAGAGGAGGATTCCAGCTGAAGAGTGGGTCATTTGTGTGCAGGCCCCTGGAATGGGGCAGCAATGTTTGCTTGCTTTTCTGGAGTTTCAGGGAAGCCAAAGTTCAAAAGCCAAGGACTTTCCATGATTAAAGTTCCATTCTCAAGAAAGCACCACTATGCATTAATGTCAATAAGTCACCATGACAAACCAGTAAAATAGGGCAAATATAATCTTACTTTTCATATATTAGTGATGTTAAAAAAATGGCCCATTGGCTCATGCCTGCCATCCCAGCACTTTGGGAGGCCAAGATGACAATTACTTGAACCCAGGAGTTTGAGAACAGCCTGGGCAACATAGACCCTGTCTCTGCAAAAAAAAAATTAAAATTATAATTTAAAATAATGGCCCATAGTGGTAATGTGGCTGTCCCTAAGATCACAAAACTAGTTGTTATGAGAGCTTGACTTGCTAATCCTGTTATCTGATGCTTTGTTGAGGACTAATGGTGGATTGATCCTGTAGAGGCCAGGGGAAGACTTTCTCTTCACCTTCTGAAGTTTCACTGAGAAATCAACTGACAAAAAGAAGATTCATTGAAAAAAAGGCATACATATTTATGAACATACACATGCGGAGGACCACAGAGGGATTGCTTCTATTCCCCAGTAGGATTCAGAAGCTCGTATACAATCTTGAGGTTACAGCAAGAATGGGTGCTTGGATCATGGCAAAATAGGCTATAGTGGTAAAACACATGAGGGGACCAGGGAAGAGGAGGCCTGGATAGCAAAAGGTCTTGTTTTGCAGATGAGATCAAATAGATGGTGAATGTTTCTTTAAGACCTTTAAAGGTATCAGATATTCAGTTAATCTTTTCTAAATCTGGACTAGAGAAAGCCTGGCTCCATCAATGCAGGTTTTCTCTACATATGCTCTTCTGCCCCATGAAGACAATTTTCAAGGCTACTTCTGTTTGCAGGCCCTCTGAACAGCCATCTCAAAACAGGCCAAAGTATATTTTGGGGTAAATTATTTTGGTTTATTTCAGTTCCTACTTTGAAACTTCAAAAAATTACATACATAAAAAGGCAAATTGGTAGCTTTGGAGAAATTTGGGTTAGAGGTTCTTAGATTAGATAGGCAAAGGAAGGGGAAGACAAACTAGGATAAGCAAAAAGATAAATAAATAAATAAATAAATACATTATTCCATATCATCTTGAATCAGTTTTGTAGTCCAGAGAGTAGATCAGCTACAGCTGTTTTCCATTCTAGCAGGTGCATTGCCAATGGGCTAGACGTCTATATAGGATGCAGCAAATCCATCTCTAATAAGAGGCATTTCTATGGAAACTAAGAAAAACAAAGGTTAATATCTGGAGTGGTCTGTAGATTTGTTTTTCTAGAGTGTCTAATGCATCTTCAGATGGCAGTGGCAATGTTTCTGGATTGTAGTTTAAATCAGGTGTTCAAGTGAACTTTATAAGTAGTTCATACATCAGCTGGCACAAAAGCTGCTTATATATAAGTTGCTCCGGTGATTTCTCCCAACATTTATATCAAGTTGTGTAGCTTCAGTGTGCAGAGCTTCAAGAAAAGCACAGTTTTTGGTTTTAAGTGATTCTAAGGCAGAAAAATGGGAGAAAAATTTGAAAACATTAGTTTGGACACTTGTAGCCAGGAAGTAATTCAGGATTCAGTTCAAATTATAGACAAATAAAAAAACCTCCAAAACAATGGGCAGGGCTAGAATCTAAAAACATATGTACTACAGTTTTCTTTTGAAACATAATTTCTCCTCCGGTTCCCCTTTTCTACCAAAGACAAATCATGTGTAGTAAGACCATTTGTTTGCAAAATAAATTTTAGTCTTAGAATACTCAGCCTTATTATTTGCATAGAGTATAGCAAGAATAGTGATTGGCCATATAGGTTCTTTAAAAGTTGGCTTTGCTAGCCGGGCGCTGTGCTTCATGCCTGTAATCCCAGCACTCTGGGAGGCTGAGGCAGGCAGATCACGAGGTCAGGAGACCGAGACCATCCTGGCTAACACGGTGGAACCCCATCTCTACTAAAAATACAGAAAGTGAGCCAGGTGCCAGGTGTGGTGACATGTGCCTGTAGTCCCAGCTGCTCAGGAGGCCGAGGCAGGAGATATACCTAGAACCTGCGGGCGGAGGTTGCAGTGAGCTGGGATCTCACCACTGCACTCCAGCCTGGATGACAAAGCGAGAATCTGAATCCATTTCAAAAAAAAAAAAAAAAAAAATTTTGGCTTCACTGTGACTTTTTCATAACAAATCTCAGGTTAGACTTTTAAAAGCCTCTAAAGTCTATAAAGCCAAGCTAAGTATTTGGCATCAGACTGTGCCCGTAACACTTACATGAATTGAGTGAATTTCTGTTTTCTAGAGGTTTCAAAATATCTTGAGGTTCCTGGGCCTGTCAGAAAGTGACATTCTTACTTGCAAGGTCAGGAACCTTGTACGGAAACAATGTAGACAAGGTACCAGGCCAGCCTTTCCAAGGAGCTTTTTATTGGCTCTATAAAGTCAACTTCAATTCCTCAAAGCAGTCTGGTCGTATCTGAAAATAAGCCATTACAGTCAAAGCCATTACCAGTCAAAGCCTTGGTAAAATAACTAGTACCCACAAGTGTGTCCTCTTACAGAAGAAACTGATTCTTGTGGAACCTATGTAAACAACGATATTACCATAAAATAGGAATGTTCATGAATAGTTTCCAAATTTTGGAGAAATCATGTAGATAGAAGGGTAAATATTTCAGTTTTGCCCACAAGAGTATAGAGCACCCAATTGTTGTAAGCTATAAAGAAATAATTCTTGACTCTGGAAAACAAAATATAAAAAAGAATCATTAATATTCCAAACAAAAATCATTTAAAAAAAGCGTTTAAGTCCTATGTCAGTTCAGGACCACGTAATTAACTTATTCTGCTTGCTGTTGGGTTAGCAATATTTATGATTACGTCAGCTTTTAAAATAGAGCCCTGGAAGGTTTTACATGGGTCTAATGACAAGATCTCCAAAGTTATCAGAAGCCTGTATTCAAGAGTATTTCAGGGTACATTCTGTAAAATTTATTGAAGAAGCAAATTTTGGACTGTAGCTGATTGTAAATGGAATTTTGAGAAAAATTAAAGCAATAATTTTCTGTGAATGATAAAAGACTTAGAATAGCCACGGGTAAAGATACAACTGACAAGGAAACTTTGTTGTATCATGGCATACGACAATTTAACATAATCATAATTGTGACTGATAACATATCAGAATTTTAGGAATCTCATACAGTATTAGAACACATTAATAACATGTTTATAGAAATATAACTTGAATAAAGTTAACTCCATATTTTGACAATGCTTTCCATATGATTTTTACATACCAGATAAACCTCGTATGTTCCTCTTGGGCTTCCAGGAGTTCTTTTTGGAATTTCCAAAAGTTAATTCAAGGTCAAAAAGACAATTTTAGATTCGAAATTAAATATGGAAGTTCGTCAAATATCAAAGGTTTAAAACACTTCATATCAAAATAAGGAAAGTTAAAAATACTTGATGAAAATAGGATCACCGGTCACTGTAAAATAATAGTTAATCATTTAGCTAAAGTGATAATTAAAAAAAAATATTCCGGCCGGGTGTTATGGCTCACACCTGTAATCCCAACACTTTGGGAGGCTGAGGCAGGTGGATCACCTGAGATCAAGAGTTGGAGACCAGCCTGTATGCTGAAACCCCATCTCTACTAAAAATACAAAAATTAGCCGGGCATGGTGGCACGTGCCTGTAGTTCCAGCTACTTGGGAGGTTGAGGCAGGAGAATCACTTAAACCCAGGAGAGGGAGGTTGCAGTGAGTTGAGATTGCGCCACTGCACTTCAGCCTGGGCAACAGAGCAAGACTGTTGTCTCCAAAAAAATATATAACTAAAAAAATTAAAAAAAATTCAAAAATCAAAAACACTTACTCTTTTACAGAGAGGAGAATCAGGTTTCCAAATAATCAAAAGATGGAATAAAGAAAATATGAGATCAACGGAATCTTTCCCTTGAGTTCTTCCCTCTCTTTTATTTCTTTAGTTTACTTAAAAGATAGATAGAAATATTTTACTATGTCTTGTTAATGCTACACAAATATCTTGTTCCAAGGAGAAACCTAAATTCTACCTTTCCATCAGTATATTATTAATGCTAAGGCTAATTTTAATAAAATTTATTTCAATTAGCTTTGACCAGAGAAGATATTCATAAACATTTTATAACCTCTTACAATTTTTCCTATTTTCTTTCTTTCCCTTTTTATATTCATCCAGTTTCATCTATTCTTTATTTCTTAAATACAATTTACAACAACTTTTAAAAACCTTTAGCCAGAATTACTATTCCCTTAATGAAAACCACATTCTCATGCTTTCTTATAACATTTCTTACCGAAAATACATCTCACTTTTCTTATACACTTTGCATACAGAATTGTTTCTCTTGTATCTAGTAGTTTTAATCATACATATTAATCAGTGTTGACTCCCATAACCCTAATTTTCAGTGAAAACCTAGGAAATAAGTAATTTTAACTGTCAGTCATGTACTAACAATTTATAAATACATATCGTATAAGTTTTAAAAGCATAAGCTTTCTATAGAACAATTTTTCTATATGGAACAGGACATATTTACTAGCAGACCTACATAACTTTTGTTTTTAAGAAAAAAGCCAAAAGCATATGAGCTTAAACTCATATTTAGTAATTAATGTCTTAGCATTATATCTTATTTGGAAATGATCTAGATATTCAATGATTATTCATCATTTAATTTAGCTTAAACTCTAAGTGCATAGTTACCAAAAAATTTTGAGAAACCTTTTTAAGTAAATATATTATAAAACATAACTTTTATTAAAAGTGTATTTATGAATGTTTATCTCATTTACAGCTATTTAATCTATTTTTAACAACTATGTTTGGTAAATTTCATAAGACAAATCTAGCCATCATCTCAAATTAAATTTTCTATTAATCATTTTTGTATTACTGTCTGTTAGGCAAGTATCATAAAAGCAAGGACCTTAAAGGACCTTAAAGTTAGAAACATACATATTTCATTGATAACTCAGCAGACTTACTTTATTAAGCTAACAATATTAAACTAGTATTATTTACCAGAAGACTGCTAAAGTAATGCAAACTTAAAAAGCATTTAGGTTTATTTACTTAAATTATGAGTGGTCATTTATAAGTCAATTTGCTACCAGGTAGACAATATACAAATAGACATGTATATACAAAAATACAGACATAAAGATCTTATAGCTTTAATTTTTAAATTTTTAGCCATGAGTCAGGTAAAACTCACTAGTTTAAAAGGGCAGTTGGATTAAAACTGTATCTCTGTAAGTGGAACAACTTAAAATTTATTTCTTCCACATGTTCAAAGCCTTTACTAAATTTCAGAGAAAACAGGGTAGCAAATTTACATTTGAAAGCATAGAGAGATTTTAAGCTTTTTCAAGAAGTCTGGGTGTGTTAGAGGAAGATTAAAAATGGATGCTAAGGTAACATAAAATCATAAGAATTTATCACAGTATTTTACAAGGAAACACACAGATGAACCTAGAGAAAGTTCAGAAACCTTCACAAAATAATGAGCTAAATGCAAGAAAGTCATATTTTGGAGACCAATCTAGTTTGATAGGTGGCTTTTTAACATAGTTTCCATTTTCTTTTTTTAATTTAATTTTGTATTATACTTTGAGTTCTGGGATATATGTGCAGGTTTGTTACATGGGTATACACACGTTACATAGGTATACATAGGTGCCATGGTGGTTTGCTGAACCCATCAACCTATCAACAACAACTACATTAGGTATTTCTCCTAATGCTATCCTTCCCCAGCCCCCAATCCCCCCAACAGGCCCCAGTGTGTGTTGTTCCCCTCCGTGTGTCCATGTGTTTTCATTGTTCAACTTATGAGTGAGAACATGTGGTGTTTGGTTTTCTCTTCTTGTGTTAGTTTGCTGAGAATGATGGTTTCCAGCTTCATCCATGTCCCTGCAAAGGATATGAACTCATCCTTTTTTTATTTTATTTTTATTGAGACGGAGTCTCACTCTGTGGCCCAGCCTGGAGTGCAGTGGCATGATCTTGGCTCACTGCCAGCTCTGCCTCCCAGGTTCACGCCATTCTCCTGCCTCAGCCTCCTGAGTAGCTAGGACTACAGGTGCCTGCCACCACGCCTGGCTAATTTTTTGTATTTTTAGTATAGATGGGGTTTCATTGTGTTTGCCAGGATGGTCTTGATCTCCTGACCTCGTGATCCTCCCGCCTTGGCCTCCCAAAGTGCTGGGATTACAGGTGTGAGCCACCACACCCGCCTGAACTCACCCTTTCTTATGGCTGTATAGTATTCCATGGTATATATGTGCCACGTTTTCTTTATCCAGTCTATCATTGATGGGCATTTGGGTTGGTTCCAAGTCTTTGCTATTGTGAATAGTGCCACAATAAACATACCTGTGCATGTGTCTTTATAGTAGAATGATTTATAATCCTTTGGGTATATACCCAGTAATAGGATTGCTGGATCAGATGGTATTTCTGGTTCTAGATCCTTGAGGAATCGCCACACTGTCTTCCACAATGGTTGAACTAATTTACACTCCCACCAATAGTGTAAAAGTGTTCCTACTTTTCCACATCCTCTCCAGCATCAGTTGTTTCCTGACTTTTTAATGATCGCCATTCTAACTGGCATGAGATGGTATCTCATTGTGGTTTTGATTAGTATTTATTAGTATTTCTCTAATGACCAGTGATGATGAGCTTTTTTTTTTTTATGTTTGATAGCCGCCTAAATGTTTTCTTTTGAGAAGGGTCTGTTCATACCCTTCACCCACTTTATGATGGGGTTGTTTTTTTCTTGTAAATTTGTTTAAGTTCCTTGTAGATTCTGGATATTAGCCCTTTGTCAGACAGATAGATTGCAAAATTTTTCTCCCATTCTGTAGGTTCAGCATGCAAACAGAGACAACTTGGCTTCCTTTCTTCCTATTCGAATACCCTGTTCACTCTGATGAGAGTTTCTTTTGCTGCGCAGAAACTATTTAGTTTAATTAGAGGGAATTTGTCAATTTTGGCCTTTGTTGCCATTGCTTTTGGTGGTTATGAAGTCTTTGCCCATTCCTATGTCCTGAATGGTATTGCCTGGGTTTTCTTCTAGGGTTTTTATGGTTTTAGGTCTTACATTTAAATATTTAATCCATCTTTGAGTTAATTTTTGTATAAGGTGTAAGGAAGGGGTCCAGTTTCAGTTTTCTGCATATGGCTAGCTGATTTTCCCAATGCTATTTATTAAATAAGGAATCCTTTCCGCACTGCTTGTTTTCGTTAGGTTTCTTAAAGATCAGAAGGTTGTAGATGTGTGGTGTTATTTCTGAGGCCAGTGTTCTGTTCCATTGATCTATATATCTGTTTGGTATCAGTACCATGCTGTTTTGGTTACTGTAGCCTTACAGGATAATTTCAAGTCAGGTAGCATGATGTCTCCAGCTTTGTTCCTTTTGCTTAGGATTGTCTTGGCTAAAGGGGTTCTTTTTTGGTTCCATATGAAATATAAAGTTTTTTTCTAACTCTTTGAAGAAAGTCAATGGTTGCTTGATGGGGACAGCATTGAATCTATAAATTACTTTGGGCAGTATGGCCATTTTCACAATATTGATTCTTCCTATCCATGAGCATGGAATGTTTTTCCGTTTGTGTCCTCTCTTATTTCCTTGAGCAGTGGTTTGTAGTCCTCCTTGAAGAGGTCCTTCACATCCCTTGTAAGTTGTATTACTAGGTATTTTACTCTCTTTGTAGCAATTTTGAATGAGAGTTCACTCATGATTTGGCTCTTTGTCTATTATTTGTGTATAGGAATGCTTATGATTTTCGCACATTGATTTTGTATCCGGAGACTTTGCTGAAGTTGCTTATCAGCTTAAGGAGATTTTGGGCTGAGACTATGGGGTTTTCTAAATACACAATCATGTCATCTGCAAACAGACAATTTGCTTCCTTTCTTCCTATTTGAATACCCTTTATTTTTTTCTCTTGCCTGATTGCCCTGGCCAGCACTTCCAATACTATGTTGAATAAGAGTCGTGAGAGAAGGCATCCTTGTCTTGTGCCAGTTTTCAAAGGGAATGCTTCCAGCTTTTGCCCATTCAGTATGATATTGGCTGTGAGTCTGTCATAAATAGCTCTTATTATTTTGAGATACATTCCATCAATACCTAGTTTATTGAGAGTTTTTAGCATGAAGGGTGTGGAATTTTATCAAAGGCCTTTTCAGCATCTATTGAGATAATCATGTGGTTTTTGTCATTGGTTCTGTTTATGTGATGAATTATTTTTATTGATTTGCATATGTTGAACCAGCCTTGCATCCCAGGGATGAAGCTGACTTGATCCTGGTGGATAAGCTTTTTGATGTGCTGCTGGATTTGGTTTGCCAGTATTTTATTGAGGATTTTCATACCGATGTTCATCAGGGATATTGGCTTGAAATTTTCCTTTTTTGTTGTGTCTCTGTCAGGTTTTGGTATCAGGATGATGCTGGCCTCATAAAATGAGTTAGGGAAGATTCCCTCTTTTTCAATTGTTTGGAATAGTTTCAGAAGAAATGGTACCAGCTCCTCTTTTTACCTCTGGTAGAATTTGGCTGTGAATCCTCCTGGTCTTGGGTTTTTTTTTTTGGGTGGTAGGCTATTAATTACTGCCTCAATTTCAGAACTTGTTATTTGTTTATTCAGTGATTTGACTTTTTCCTGGTTTAGTCTTGGGAGGGCGTATATGTCCAGGAATTTATCCATTTCTTCTAGATTTTCTAGTTTATTTGCGTAGAGGTGTTTATAATATTCTCTGATGGTATTTTGTATTTCTGTGGGATCAGTGGTGATATCTTGACTATCAGCTTTTAATTAAGCTGACTTATGACCCTATAGCGTTCTAAAAGAAATTCTTTCAAATCTACTGCAATGTGGAGTAGACTTCACTGTGAATCCTGCAGGAGATTCTAAGTAGGCTGTCTGAATATACAAAGGATTTTAACTTTGTTTTAGGTCAGATTTTTGCTCTTTAACTTGGTCAAGATAGTTTCTAAGGCTAACCATTACATTATTATGTGTCTTTCTTTTAATTTGATCTTCCCATAAATACAAATAAGGCAATTGTTTTGAATGAGATTGCTAATATGTGTATGTGTGTATATATATATATATATATATGTGTGTGTGTGTGTGTGTGTGTGTATATATGTGTGTATATATATATGTGTATATTTGTATATATATGTGTGTGTGTATTATATATAGTTTTAATTTAGGCTTCTTTTTAATTTAACAGATTCACCTTTTGGTCACTGATGATTAGGATTTTTACTGGTGTACTTGTTCTAATAGCAGCCTAATAGCCTTTTCATGGAAAGCCCATGATGTAATTTTCCAGGTATAAAATAAGTTAAAACGGGTTTAATGGAGAGGGCATAGAGGGAATCCTAATGATTTTTCCCCCAAAAAATTACTCCCAGAAGTAGGCTAAGATTGCCAAAGTCTTCTGTTGCCACAGACAGTTAAGTATGGCATTTGTATGCGTGTAGCATCTCTGATAACCTACAAATTTGTGGAGTGCTGCCACTAATGAAACCGCTGTTGCAAAAGTATGACAGTAAGAGAAATTTGACATGGCTGACTCCATCTTGCTTCTAGCACAGGGTGGCTGTCTTTGCTCATTCCTAGGCATGGACCAAGCTAATTTGGGAAGAAATTTAGTTTATAGTTAAATAATAGTGTTATGGGATCTTTGGGGTGTCATTTTCATGACTGTGAAGCTCTGTGGCCGGTGGCACTTTTGCCCAAGTTTTGCTTAGGCCTGCTGGGCTCATTCTGCCCATTCAGCCTGGCAGACACTGCTCAGCTCACACTACTGGCCTGAACCCCCTGCCTCCAAGGGAGACTGTGAGTCAGGTAGGGAGCACCAAGGGGTGTGGGAGTGAGCATGGGGTCCAGCCACTGCACACAGTCAGACACACCAGCTGCTGCCATGGGGCAGGAAGCTCCAGGTGCCAGCATGGGCACCGGTACTCTGCAAGGCTGCAGCTGGACCAGGTGCACCACAGGCAGTTTCCCCAGCTGGCACTGGGGAATGTGGTGTCACCTGGAATACTGGAGATGGCAGGAACTGCAGTGCCCCAAAGAGGGAGATACAGCCCTGGCTCTTGAAGCTCCCAGGTCTGGGATCCCCAAAGGGTCACAGCTCTTCTCTACTTCCCTTTGCCTGCAATGTGGCAAATGGGTCATATTTCAACTGTTAGTGTTATAGCTCTTTTAGCCTCGCCATTTGTTGGTTCCCAAGTTCTCGTCCCGCAACCAGGAAGAATAAGTTGCGCAGACAAGTGGAGGGTGAGCAAGATGAAAAGGAGTTTTATTGACAATAGAAAAGCTCAGAGGAGACCCACAGTAGGCAGCTCCTCTTTGTAGCCAGGGTGTCCTGATAACTCTCAGCAGAGAGGGTAGCTCCTGTCTATAGCTGGTCGTCCTGTTGTCTGCTCTGCTCTGGTTGAGCCCAGGGCTTTTATGATCCTCAGAGTGGAGGAAGTGTGCCTGCATTGGTCCATGGGTGGCCATAGGTGGGCCTGGAAAAGGCACCACAAGTTTCCACTCTGGTCACAGGACTGGCAGCCTGGCCTCCAGCCTTCAGGCCCTTCCTGGCTTGAAGGTGGGGCCTCACCGTGGACCCACCCCCTTCTGCCCAGGAGCCTGTCTGCCTCCTGCCACTGTCCATGGCACCCAGACTGCTCATGCCGAGGGGCACCAGCAGGCCAGCACCGAGCTGCCCTCAGCCCTCCCTTGGCTTCCTCCCATGCTCGTCAGCACCCAAAGTCTAGAGGGGGCCAAAGTCTGCTGGCGTGTCAGCACTGCCCTGAGTGTATGTACTCCTGGCTGGGCTGTGACAGCCCGGGCTTGGCCCCAACCCTGTTCCAATATTGCAGTGGGTGCCAGGAGCTAGGAGAGGCCAGACGGAGAGAACAGACAGCCCCAAGCCTGGGGGGTAAAGGCGGCCTTCTCAGGCCCCCAAGGGTGCAGAGTGCAGAGACACCTGGGTCCTGCGACAGGGAGGGCAGGGCTACAGCCCCAGCCATGACTCCTCTCAGCCTGGGGTGGGGGCTCCAGGTCCTCACTGGGCCCCTTTCTGTCCGCTCCTCCAAGCCCGACCACACTGTTCCCCTGCCAGTGGGCGACTTGGCCTAGCCCCATCACAGTAGCTCTCAGGGCAGCAGGCTCTCGGGGGTGGGGCTCCCACTGGCTCCGGGGAGTGCTGCACGAGCTGCGGCCCAGATCTGCCTCCTCCTTGCACACTCCCTGCAGGTGGTGGGCAAGAGTGGTGACGCAGGAACAGAGTCCGGAGTGGTGGAGGCTCCAGGCCTGGTAGCAGGTCCCGTGGGGGTGGGGGCTGTGCAGTCAGCTGCCTTGGGGACATGGGGCACAGGGGACCCATCAGTGCCATTTCTGCTCCTGCAGCTGCTCCTGCCACCACCACTCGCACCTTCCCACAGCAGCTGGAGCGATGGCAGCCGCTGCTCTGGATTGCCCACCACTGCCATCTACAGCCCTTCCCAAAAACTAAACTGTTGCTGTGAAACGAATGAAAGGCCACTAAGTTAGAAGGGTGAGAACGGCTTTAATTCTAAATAATACCAGCCATTATTCCGGAGGCCGTAGGATTCACAACTTCCCCAATTACTCTTGCAGATAAGATCACTGTTGTAGAATCTAAGATTGGCCTTTTGAGATATCTTTTCACATTTCTGCAGTTTTGACAACCAGACGGTCCCACCTTGACCTGCCAATCAGTCCCGTGCCCCACCCCCCACCCAGCAACTGACTCAGCAAAATAGGACAGCTTAGGTTCACTATGATTTCATCTCTGACCCAATCATCACGCTCCCTACCCTAGACCCCTACCCACCAAACTATCTTGGAAAAAATCTTAACCTCTGAGCCTTCAGGGAGATTGATTTGAGTAAAAACTTTGTCTCCCATGTTGCATAGCCAGCTTCATATCACTTAGGCTCGCTCTTTACTGCAATGCCACGGTCTCAGTGAGTTGACTTTGTGCAGCAGGCAGGAAGAAACTTTTGGGCAGTTACAGTCACAGATCTGTTAATCTATGACATAGGATAGGCCTCCCGGGATTGGACTTTTCCAGCACTAACCAGACAACAAAGGTTGACATGACAAAAGCCCCATAGGGATGAGACTTCTTCAGATGAACACCTGCAAGAGGTTTACACATTCAGGACAAAAAGTGTGCTGCTTAAAATCTTATATATCTTGGGTTCTCAACCATTTTCAGACTGGCCAGCTGACACGACCTCAAAATCATGCTTCAGGCCCAATCCCAACCCCTCCACGGTGGAAACCAAGAGAGTGTGCTCCCACTTGGTCACCAGTCAACCTCTCAGTGACATAAAATAAGATGAGAAAGAACAGTGTCTTTTTTTTTTTTGGCTGCCCACAGCAAAGTTTATAGATGCTGGTATGATCAGAACTGCAAAACTGAACAGTCTGTAGGACTGGTTTGAATAACAGACTTATGGGGGTTTTAGGCTCACATTCTACCCTAGGCTACCCCTCTTTTTTTCCTTTAGAGATGGAATCTCACTTTTGTTTTGCTTCCCAGGCTGGAGCACAGTGACATGATCATAGTTCACTGCCACCTTGAATTCCTAGGCTCAAGCCATCCTCCTACCTTCATAGCTGGGACTACAGGTGCACACCAGTGTGCCCAGCTAATTTTTAAATTTTTTGTAGAAACAGGGTCTTGTCATCTTGCCCAGGCTGGTTTTAAACTCCTGGGCTCAAGCAGTCATCCTACCTTGACCTCCCAAAGTGGTGACCCTCTTTGTGACAAAACAACACAGAAAGACAAAGACAAGACTATTTCTAGGAGGAAAGGGACCAAAAATTTATGAATATTCATAGCAGAAGGTACACGAGTTGCTACATGGAAGATAATCACTCAAATTCTTTTCTCTCATTAATCAAGATTTTGCAGAGCAAAAAGGGACAATTATTTTTTTCCCTCTGCTTGACTGAATCTCTGTCTACTGGTATGTCAAGTCCTGGGTTACCTTAACTGTGGCTTTCAGAAAAGCACAGCTTTGGTATCATGCTCATAGTGCCAAAACTGTAGGGCCAAGGGAAAAACTTTTCCTTTGCCCTCTGAAGTTTCACTGAAAAATCAACTCATATAAGGCAGATTAATAAAAGGCATACATATTCATTTACAGGAACATGGGAGAGGACCAAAGAGGGATTATCCCCGCTCCCCAATTGGGTTCAGGAGCTTATATGCAATCTTGAGGTTACAGAAAGAATGGGGGCTTGGAATGGCAAAACAGGTTATGGGAGGGGAAGAAAAGGACACTTGGCTAGCAAAGGTGGGTGGTCTTATTATTTAGATGAAATCTCACAGGTAGCAGCCCTCAGAGAGAATCGACAATGGTGAATGTTCCTTTCAGACTTTTAAAGGTGTCAGAAGCTCAGTTAATCTTTTCTAAGTCTGGACAAGGGAAAGCCTCAGCGAAAGCCCAGCTCCATCAGTGCAAATCTTCTCTACGAATGCCGATCTACCCCAGAGACAGTTTTCAGGGCTACTTCTGTTTGCTAGCCCTCTGAACAGCCGTCTCAAAATATGCCAAAGTATATTTTGGGGTGAAATATTTTTGTTTCCTTCAATCTGATGCCAAATCACTTTATAAAAAGAACAGGAGACTCATCTCTGCCTTTGTTATTTTGCATGGTCTGTGATAGACATTACTGATAAAGTTGAACGTGTCCAGGAAATGTGATAAAGTAAGAACCCTCAATGCAAAGACTTTGGTCATGCTGGCAGCTGTTCCTGGGGCTAAGAAAACAATATTCATGCACTGATCTGCTGGTTATATTTCATTATAAATAGGGGTTAGTGGCCCTAAAGAGAGGGCTTTGATCACTTGTAAGAGCTCAGTGATGATATAACACTTGAAAAAATCTTCACCACATTTTATTATTTCTTTGCCCTCCTCTGGTCACTTCAAGTTAGAAATACAAATTATAAAAAATAAGCTATTACATTTTCACAGACGAACTAATGAAAAAAGGCTTTTAGAAAATATTTAAATTATCCCAGATAAACTGTGTTAATCCTACTGACAGTCTATTTGTAATATAAGAATAATGCTGTCAATCTCACAATTTGAAATCGGTCACAGGCTGATTTTTTAAAAATACCTTACAAAATATCCTACAAAATATCTTTACCTTCCCACAAGTCTCATCCAGAGTCACTCCCCGATAAACTGTAAGACAAGTCTCTCAGTGTTTATGGATCAAATTTCCCTCCAAGTCTTTCTTCAACATTTGCTAGATTTGTCCTGCTTTCTACCTCCCAGTAAACAGTGTACAGAGGTCGGGACAGAAGCATCTCTTTCATCCGGCAAAGAGCTTATGGAACCTCAGCCATAGGCTCAGGCATTATCCCAGCCTTGGAAATAGAGCCAATATGTAGGAAATACAGACATATCAGTCAGTAGATATATACACGAGCTTGCCTATGACATGAAAATGGACTGTTATTGGCTATTCCATCCCTCTTCCATTCAACTTGGATTATAGCTTTAGCATATAAAACCTTTTGGTCCTTCCAAACCATACGGACTTGAGTGGGTAGATAAACCACAAGAGGTTTGATCATTTGTCAATAGTTTTATCAAAATTAATATATATAGTATTTATAGAACGCTGTGATTCACCAAGGGGGTAAATAGATCAGTCAACAGTGAATACAGCTGATTTGGCTTGGCTTGTTCTTCCTAAACTACGTTGCTGTCTTGTGGGTATATGACAATCGAAGTAACACAGAAGGTGGCATAAGTAGATTAGTACTTGCCAGATGGATGATATTGATATGAATGATATGAGTATAGATGAGGGAAGGAAAGGAAAGTTTTCCATGAGTAGAATGTGAATATCGGCTAATGAGTGATTGTCCCTCAGTTCAAAATCCTATGAAAGCAAGTTGTGAAGATGAAGATTTTTCTATCCAGAGTGTTTTAGAAAGGAAGGTGTAAGGATTTGATCTAAAATTACTTTCCTTTTGTTCTCAACTCTCTTACCCAGGCTTCATTCTACTTTTTCTTTGTCTTCACGATCAAAAATCAGTGAGTACAGAACTTGTATTTTCATCCTTTGTTAGATAAAAATCCACATTTTGTTTGAGAGATGAAGTTAAATTCCTTATGGCTACCCCTGGGATTAAAACACTTACCCTAAACTTAAACTGGCTAAAATGTTTTCAATAGATCAAGGAGGTAAATACACTCCTGTAAAGCAGTAGTGTATGTTAATAATATTTTTAAAAATTAACCAAATCTTATAAGCCAATTACTTTTAATGACAGACAAAGAAGAACTGTCTTTATGGCTTAAAAACATTATAAAGACCAATTTAACTTATTTAAAATGATTTTCGAAATGGCCATATTTTCTGCAAAATAATTAAGCTGTCATACGGACTTCTTTATAATCAAAATTGACCATTGCCAATGTTAGTTACCATAAAGGTATTTAAATACAAAAATAAAATTGTTTTGAGTTATAATCAATTTTTAGTTTATTATTCTTTATTCTCAGGCTTTATACTTAGGAAATGTTGAATATCCTTTGACCAAAAGTTTTCAGGTTTAATTTTTCATCTAGTTCTCCATCTTGTCTACATCATATCTCTTTTATGGGTCTCTATTGCTATCACACATGTTCTTTAATTTTTATCAACAATGGTGTGTTTTTGTTTTGGATTTTGAAAATATTTGGTATTTTGTTTAATGAAATGGCCATTGAGATACAGCCACAAGAGGAGACAGAGGAAAGGCTCAGGAATAAAACAAAGTTTATTATATTTAGAGGTCATAGAGACAGAAGGCAGGGCACACTACACAGGGCCACAGGGGAAAGAAACTAGATTGGTTAGGAAAGAGAAGACAGGAGTGAAGGGGAGGGTTAGTCTAGAGCCTTTACTGGTGTTTCTTTGGGAAAGGCAAGGCAGGGAAGGGTGAACAGTGTAGAATTGGCTAGGTATAATTTTGGTGGACTTTGGGCTGTGGGGCGGTTCCTGATTTTTTGGCATCTGACTTTGGGATGACTAAGGCAGAGGAATATTGCCTTCTGGGGTGTTTGGGCCAGACAGAGGAAGTATGGCTTTAGATTGGTTGATTTGTACATCAACGCAATGTTCCAGGCGAGGTCCTTTGCTCTCTCTGGAGTTGACTAGCTCAAGGAACAGTAATTTCTCACCACCCAGAAAGGCTTTTCAGGATGTCAAAACAATATAATAAACAAAGTTAAAACACACAACAGCGAAACTTTTTTTTTTTTCTGAAAAAAGGCTACTGGCTGTTATTTCTTGCCAGAATCAATAAAAATTCCTCCTAAAAGATAATTAAAAATTATCTTCTCTAATGTATTGCTGCAACCTGGCCATCAAACAGCACTAAATGTAACTTGTCTTAATTTTTACCAAAGAAAAGTTGGTAGCATTACAATCTGTCTGTCTTCCTTCGAGAGATAGAGATGTGAAATGCAAACACTGAACATAATGTTCTGTGTGAGCTCTAAAAACACCAAGAAATAGATGTAGGAAGTTACGTAGAATGGTGGTCTCAAGTATCATCCCCAACTGTTGATACAAACTAAACTTGCAGTCAGGGATGCTATAGCATAAAATATTCATGCTGTTATTGGTGCTGAAGGCGACTGCTGATTTATTTGCAATTAGTAGTAAAGAATTCATAACAATGCTATGATGCTCAGCCCTCATAAACCCTGGGAGGCTTCTGTATTTTGCAGGCTTGCAGTTCTGTTGTCACTGCTATACTTTTTTAAAAAAGAAATGAGCTAAACCTTGTCAGAGCTGACGGCACTATCTTTTGGAGCTTTTCTTCTCCCAATTGAAGATAAAGGCAAGGAAGCTGGCCTGCCACACAGAGGCTGGTTCCTGGACCTTCTGGGATCTCTCATTCCGGTCAGTTTGCTTTATCGGGCACCTGCCCAAGGATGAAGAAATCATAACTCATAATGACTTGTTTGAAATATTTTAGACCACGTGGGTGAGAAGAACACACTTTAAAATAAAAGGAATGTGTAGTCATCCTTCCTTACGTTTGCCTTCCACATATGTCCTGCTGATCTAGTATTTTGATGTTCTTTAGTGAAACAACATTTATCCAGGGAAATTCTAAGGATATAGGAATCCATCAACACTAGATTTGTAAGCCAACAAGGAAACAATAGAGGGCAACTAAATCAATCATTTGTCATAAATACAAATGTCACTAATCCAAAGTTGGTGGCCACTTTTCTGTTTTTACATCAGAGCCTAGAGAATCTATTGTTTACTGATCTGACACTCTTGGTAGCTTTTTCCAGATTCCACTTTGGTGCTGATCTACATTCCTTTTCTCAGTGATAAATGCCATTTAGAGTTGTATTATTAATAGGATTTAATTTTGACAGCCAGTTTTACCAAATTTGGCCTATAAAGGCATACATTCTTCATATGCATAGGCATACATTCTTTACTTGATGGCTACATCATTCAACTATTGTATTATTAAGAAAGCCTTGTATTTACATTGGATGTCACAGTTTATAAAGAAAACATAGATGTATTTTCTCAAGCCATAGAACTGTGCTTTATAGTGACAATTTCCATATTATGGGCCCATAATGTTTAGGGTTAATTCTGCATTGTAATGGCTAACAGAAGGAATGGTCTGGATCAGTGCTTCTCAAATTGAAATGTACTTATGAAGCCCATAAATATCTTTGTAAATGCAGATTCTGACTGAGTAGTCTAGGATGAGGTCTGAGAGTCAAAAACATGAATGTGGGGAGCCTACATGCATTGTGCTCAGGAGCTGCCTTAGAGATTTTTGCCTTCCATATCTCCCCTTTAAAATTGCCTCTGACGTTTGCTTTTGGGCTGCTCCCTAAAATAACCACCTGCCAGTTTATCATCTCTTGTCGCAGACCCTCCATTTCCCTAGAATAGTGTTGCTAGATTTACCAAATAAAAATAGATGACACCAGTTAAATTTGAATTTCAGATAAACAATGAATATGTTTTTAATATAATTGTGTCTAAAATATTGCATGGTACACATTTATACTAAAAATGTATTCATTGTTTACCTGAAATTCAAATTTAACTGGATGACCTGTATTTTATACTGTAATCGTACCCTGGAAACAAATGCCTTGGTGTGTATTGGTCTAGGTCAATCTCAACACTGTTGACTTGGGGTCCAGATACTTGTATGTTGTGGTAGACCATCTTGTGCATTATAGGAAGTCTAGCAGCATCTATGGCTTCCACTTACCAAACACCTATTACAAGCCCGTCCCTTGTTGTCACAACTGAAAGTGTCTCCAGACATTGGCAGTGTCCCTGGAGAAAAAAGAAAGCAGCCCCAGTTTCGAACTATTGGTCTAGAGGGAGGAGGGTGTGTGTGTGTGTTTCTAAATATGTAGGTTGAGAAAACAAAATATTAGTAAAGTTTTCGGCAAGGTGCAGTGCCTCACACTTGTAATCCTAGCACTTTGGGAGGCTGAGGTGGGTAGATCACTTCAGCCCAGGAGTTCGGGACCATCCTGGGCAACATGGTAAGACTGTCTCTATAAAAAATACAAAAATTAGCCAGGCATGGTGGTGTGCACCTTTAATCCCAGGTACTTTGGAGGTTGAGGTGGGAGGATCACCTGAGCCAGGGGAGGTTGAGGCTTCAGTGAGCCAAGATAGCACCACTGTACTATAGCCTGGGTGACAGAGTGAGACAATATAAAAAAAAAAATTAGTAAAGTTTTGGTAACGTGTCTTTCTTTGTCAAATATGATAGGAGAGATGTAATGGGAGTTTCTAAGTTAGGTTCTGTGGAAGTCATGAGATTAAAAAAAATTACAAGCAAATATTTTGTCATATTTTATCTACGTATGAATCTGCTTCCCTGTCCCGTATTCTCCTAAAACATGCACCAAGTAGCACTTAAAGCTATATTAATGATAATGTAAAGAGTATACTGTTTCCTGAGTATTTTGTTCCATTTCTATACCCATGAAATAAACATATTTCCTGTGTGTCTCTGGGGCTAAATATAAACTCTCTTCCCCAGCATTCATGATCTTTCACTGGCTTCCTCCTCCCTCCCCAAAACTCCCCTCCCCACTTTGGGGTTTCCTCCATATTTCCTAACGTTCCTCTCTCATCTGCTTCATCAGGCCATGTAAACCAAACTGACACAGTTCACACTTAACTGTGAATTCCAAGCAATTTCTGATCATGTGCTTTGCTAGTATTGCCCTCCATTCACACTGCCTCATAGCCATCCTCAAATACATTCTATAAAACCTAACTTTCAAGAAACCCTACTTTATTTCCCCAACCCATAAGAATCACTCTCTTTTCTGGCACTGTCCATAACACAACTCACTTTCTCCCTTGGATAAGAAACAGTTACTAACAAGTTATCTCCCATACTAACCTTGAAAGACTTTAGAGTAGGTTTTGGGACTGCATTAGTGTTACATTGTCCAAATCACCACCTACATGCAGTCCCCAAGGTATCCTCATATTTAGCTTATGCACATGCGTTTAATTCTGCTTAGAATGTTTTAACCCCGTAGCCTTTTCTGACCTCCCCATTTAAAATTATTATGACTCTGAGACAACACACACTAAACCACCTTTCCTAATTTATTTTTCCCCATGAAGTCATTATTTTCTCTCACATGTTATTTTTACTTATTTGTTTATTATCTGATTCTCCCTGAGAGTATATAATTTTTACTAGGACGGGTCACTTGTGTCTCTTTCCCTAGTGACTGGAGTAGTTTCTGGCACAGAGTAGGTGTTCAATAAACAATTGTTGAAAAAGTAATTAATGTGCTGGGATATCTGAAGGTATTTCAAAAGGTGTTGGTCTCAAATATATTTGATACTTGAGAATATCAGTAGAATAATTTTGAAGGGACAAAACTTCCATGGGTGTAGAACTTCTAAAACACACCCGGGCACAAAGTTATCACTTTATAATCCTATCTTGAGGTTATTTCACACAGAAGGCTTAGAGAGAAAAAGCTGAAAAGTTGTATTGATTGCAATTTTGGGGGAAGTGTACTAAAAAGACTCCCATGCTTAAACTGCTCTAATACCAGGTGCAGGAAATACCACAATTGCTGATAGAACAAATACTATATTACTTGTTACTGGCTGAGTAGATTTAGAAATCAAATTGGACCTAAAGGAAAGTGAAAGAAAGCTCTTTCATAAACCTTTGCTTCTTTTTCCTTTCCTCTTTTTTATTGTCTTCATAAAAGTTTCATTTGAGGGAATAAAGTGCCCCCTGGGGCTGTGTCTACATGAAACCTTAAGGTATTAAGCATTCATTTTTGTGCAGTTGATCACACAAGTCAATCATGCCAAATTGGGAAGTTATTCTCCCAATATGTTAACCAACTATACATGAAATTTCTAGCCCATATGTTGTTTGGCTTTTTTTTTTTTTTTTTTTTTTTTTTTTTGAGATGGAGTTTCACTCTGCCGCCCAGGCTGGAGTGCAGTGGCACGATCTCGGCTCACTGCAACCTCCACCTCCTGGGTTCAAGCGATTCTTCTGCCTCAGCCTCCTCAGAGCTGGTAGAGCTGGTATTACAAGCATGTGCCATTATGCCCAGGTAATTGTTTTACTTTTAGTAGAGACGGGATTTCACCATATTGGCCAGGATGGTCTCCAACTCCTGACCTCATGGTCTGCTCACCTCAGCCTCTCAAAGTGCTGGGACTACAGGCTTGAGCCACCATGCCCAGCCATGTTGTTTGGTCTTTGTCAGGACTACTGTCGCAGCTCAAGAGCAGCCATAGACAATAGGTAAACAAATGGGCATAACTGTGTCCCAATTACTCTTTGTTTTATGATATTGAAATTAAATTTCATATATGCTTCACATGTCAGGAAATATTTTTCATTTTAAATTTTTGTGGGTACATAGTAGGTGTATATATTTATGGGGTGCATGAGGTGTTTTGATACAGGCATGTGGTATGTAATAATTATGTCATGGAAAATGGGATATTCATCCCATCAAAGATTTTTCCTTTGTGTTACAAACAATCCAGTTACATATTTTTAGTTATTTTTAAATGTACTATCAGATTATTATTGATTATAGTCACTCCGTTGTGCTATCAAATACTAGGTCTTATTCATTCTTTTTTTTTTCTTTCTTTTTGAGACAGGGTTTCACTCTGTCACCCAGGCTGGAGTGCAGTGGTGCATTTCAGCTTCAGCTCACTGCAACTTCTGCCTCCTGTGTTCAAGCAATTCTTGTGTCTCAGCCTCTGGAGTAACTGGAATTATAGCCATTCACTACCACACCCAGCTATTTGTGTGTGTATGTGTGTATTTTTAGTAGAGATGTGGTTTCACCATGTTGGCCAGGTTGGTCTGGAACTCCTGGCCTCAAATGAGTTTGCCTGCCTCAGCCTCCCAAAGTGTTAGGATTACAGGCGTTAGCCACCTTGCCCGGCCTTATTCATTCTTTCTAATTATGTTTTGTATCCCGTAACCATCCCCACTTCCCCCTGAAACCCCTACTACCTTTCCCAGCCTCTGGTAACCATCCTTCTAATCTATTTCCTGAGGTCAATTGTTTTGATATTTTAGCTCCTACAAATAATTTAGAATATGTGAAGTTTGTATTTCTGTGTCTGAGTTATTTCACTTAACATAATGACCTCCACCTCCATCAGTGTTGTTGAAAATGATTAACTCTCATTCTTTTTTATGGCTGAATAGTACTCCATTATGCATATGTACCACATTCTCTTTATTCATTCATCTGTTCTTGGACACTCAAGTTGCTTCCAAATCTTGGCTGTTGTGAACAGTGCTACAACAAACATGAGAGTGCAGACATCTCTTTGTTATATTGATTTCCTTTTTTTAGGTATATATGCAGTAGTGGGATTACTGGATTATATGATAGTTCTATTTTTAGTTTTTTGAGGAACCCACAAACTGTTCTCCATAGGGGTTGTCTAATTTACTTTCCCACCAACACTGTAGAAGGGCTCCCTTTTCTCCACATCCTCTCCAGCATTTTTATTACCTGTCTTTGGGATAAAAGCCATTTTAACTGAGGAGAGATGATATCTCATTGTAGCTTTGATTTGCATTTTTCTGATGATCGATGATGTTGAGCACTTTTTCATATGCCTCTTTGCCATTTTATTATCTTCTGAGAAATGTTTATTCAAATCTTTTGACCATTTAAAAACATTGGATTAGACTTTTTCCTATAAGATGTTTAAGCTCCTTATATATTCTGGTTACTAGTCCCTTGTCAGATGGGTAGTTTGCAAATATTTTCTTCCAATCTGTGGGTTTCCTTTTCATGTTGACTGTTCTTTGCCAAGCAGAAGCTGTATAACTTGATGTGACCCAGTTTATCTAATTTTGCTTTGGTTGCCTATGCTTATGGGATGTTACTCAAGAAATTTTTGCACAGACCAAGGTTCTAGAGAGTTCCCCAAAAGTTTTACTGTAGTAGTTTCATAGATTGAAGTCTTACATTTAAGTCTTTAATCCATTTTGATTTTTGTATATGGCAAGAGATAAGTGTCACATTTCATTCTTCTGCCTATGAATATCCAGTTTCCCACCACCGTTCATTGTTGAAAATGATTTACTGTAAGTATATGGATTTATTGCTGGGTTCTGTATTCTGTTCCATTGGTCTATGTGTCTGGATTTATGCCAGTACCATGCTGTGTTGGTTACTATAGCTCTGTAGTATAATTTGAAGTCAGGTAATGTGATTATTTTAGTTTTTTTCTTTTTGCTCAGGACAGATTTGGCTATTTGGGGTCTTCTGTGGTTCCATATAAATTTTAGGAATTTTTAATATTTCTGTGAAGAATGCCATTTGTGCTTTGATAGGGATTACATTGAATCTTTAGATTGCTTTGAGTAGTGTGGAAATTTTAAAAATACTGATTCTTCCAATCCATGAACATGAAATATCTTTCTATTTTTGTATGTCTTCTTTAATTTCTTTCATTAGTTTTTAATAGTTTTCATTTTGAGATCTTTCACTTCTTTGGTTAACTTCAAAGTATTTAATATTATGTGTGGCTATGGTAAATGGGATTACTTTTTATTTCTTTTTCAGATTGTTCAGTGTAGGTATATAGAAATGTTAATGATTTGTATGTTGATTTTATATCCTGCAACTTTACTGAATGTGTTTATCAGTTCTAATAGTTGTTTTAGGGATCCTTTAGGTTTTTACAAATATAAGATTATTTCATCTAGAAACAATTTTGGGTTCGACTTGCCCTTTCTTTTTTAGTTCTTTATAGGGATCCTTTAGGTTTTTACAAATATAAGATCATTTCATCTGGAAACAATTTTGGTTTGGACTTGCCTTTTCTTTTTTAGTTCTTTAAGATGCATTATTAGGTTATTTGAAGTTTTTGTTTCTTTTTGATGTAGACACTTATAACTATGAATTTCCCTCTTGGTGGTGCTTTTACTGTATCTCACACGTTTTGGAATGTTGTGTTTCCATTACTGTTTGTTTCAACAAATTTTTCAATTTTCTTCTTGATTCAGGAGCATACTGTTTAATTTCCATGTGTTTGTATAGTTTCCAAAATGCCTCTGGTTATTGATTTCTAGTTTGATTACACTGGGGTCAGAAAAGATGCATGATATTAGTTTCATTTTTTGAAATGTTTTAAAACTTGTGACCTAACCTATGGTCTATCCTTGAGAATGGTTCATGTCCTGAGGAGAAGAATTTGTATTCTGCAATCATTGGATGAAATGTACTGTAAATAGCTATTAGGCTTACTTGGTCTCTAACACAGACTAAATCTGATGTTTCTTTGTTGATTTTCTGTGTGGAGGATCCGTCCAATGCTGAAAGTGGGGTGTTGTCCAGCTGTTATCATATTGGTGTCTATCTCTTCCTTTAGCGCTAACAGTATTTGCTTTATATGTCTGGGTGCTCCCACATTAGATGTGTGTATATTTTCAGTTGATGTATCCTCTGCTGAATTGACTCCTTATCATTATATAATAGACTTGTTTCTCTCCTGTTACAGTTTTGGTCTTTAAGTGTATTTTGTCTAATACAAGTATAGCTACTTCTGCTCTTTTTTTGTCTTCATTGGCATGGGGTATTTTTTTCTATCTTTTTGTTTTCAGTCCATGTGCATCTTTACAGGTGAGATGTGGTTCTTGTGGGCAACAGATCATTGGGTCTCATGTTTTAATCTATTAAGACATTCTATGGCTTTGGATTGGAGATTTTAGACCACTTACATTCAATGTTATGATTGATAAGTAAGGACTTATTCCTGTCACTTTGTTATTTGTTTTCTGTTTTATTTTTATTTTATTTTTTATTTATTTATTTATTTATTTATGTGTGTGTGTGTGTGTGTGTGTGTGTGTGTGTGTGTGTGTGAGATCTCTTTCTGTCTTCCTTTTAGTGAAGGTGATTTTCTCTAGTGATATATTTTCTTTCTTTTTATTTTTTGTGTTTCCACTGTATATTTTTCAATTTGAGGTTACCATGAGGCTTGCAAAGACTATCTTATAACTCACTCTTTTAAATTGATGGCAACCTAATACTGATTGCATAAACAAACAAGCAAAATGCTAATAAAACTCTACACTTTGTCTCCTTGCTTTTTAATTTTTTGTTGTTTCTCTGTGACTTATTGTACTTATTGTACTCTTGAAAAGTTGTGGTAGTTACTGCTTTTGAGTTGTTCATTGTTAAGTCTTTCTACTTAAGAGTAGTAGTTTATAGATTACAATTACAGCGTTATAATATCCTGTGTTTTTCTGTGTGCTATTATCAGTGAGATTTGTACCTTCAGATCATTTCATATTGCTTATTAACATCTTTTTCTTTCAAGTTGAAGAAATTCCTTTAGCATTTCTTGTAGGACATATCTGGTGTTGATGAAATCCCCTAAGTTTTGTGTATCTAGGATGGGCTTTATTTCTCCTTCTTGCTTGAAATATATTTTCACTGGATATATCATTCTAGGGTAAAAGTTATTTTCCTTCAGCACTTTAAGTATATCATGCCACTCTCTCCTGGCCTGTAAGGTTCCCACCGAAAACTCTGCTGCCAGACATATTGGAGCTTCATTGTATGTTATTTGTTTCTTTTCTCTTACTGCTTTTATGATCCTTTCTTTATCCTTGATCTTTGGGAGTTTGCTTCCTTGAGGTAGTCTTCTTCAGGTTAAATCTCCTTGGTGCTCAATAAACCTTCTTGTGCTTGAATATTGATATATTTATCTAGGTTTTGGAACTTCTCTGATAGTATCCCTTTAAATAAACTTTCTGTTCCTATCTTTTTCTCTACTTCCTCTTGAAGACCATTGAAATATTTGCCTTTTAAGTCTATTTTCTAGATCTTGTAAGTGTGCTTCATTGTTTTTTATTCCTTTTTTTTTTATTTCCTCCATGTATTTTCAAATAGCCTGCCTTCAAGTTCACTAATTCTTTCTTCTGCTCAATCAGTTTTGCTATTAAGGGACTCTGATGCATTCTTCAATATATCAATTGCATTTTTCATTTCCAGAATTTCTGCTTGATTCTGTCTTGTTATTTTAATCTCTTTGTGAAATTTCTGATAGAATTCTGAATTTCTTTGCGGTGTTATCTTTAATTTTGTTGAGTTTCTTCAAAACAACTATTTTGAATTCTCTGTCTGAAAGGTCACATATCTCTGTTTCTGCAGAATTGATCCCTGGTGCCTTATTTAGTTCATTTGGTAAAGTCATGTTTTCCTCGATGGTCCTGATGATTACAGATGTTCATCAATATCTGGGCATTGAAGAGTTAGGCATTTATTTTAGTCTTCACAGTCTGGGCTTGTTTGTGCCTGTTCTCCTTGGGAAGGCTTTCCAGGTATTTGAAGGAACTTGGGTACAAAGCCTAATAATGCAGTGGTTCTTGCAGACTCATAGAGGTACCACTATGGTGGCCTTAGATTTAATCTGAAAAACTTCTCTGGGTTACCATGCAGAAACTCTCATTCATTTTCCTTACTTTGTCTCAAACGAAATTTCTCTTTCTGTGCAGAGTCACCTGGAACTGGGGTTGGGGGCACACAAGCACTCCTGTGGCTACCACCACTAGGAATGTGCTGGTTCAGATCTGAAGCAAACACAACACTGGGTCTTGTCTATGGCCTGCTGTAACCACTACCTGGCTACCACCTATGTTCACTCAAGGATGTAGGATTCTATGATCAGCAAGTGGGCAAGCCAGTCATGTTTGTTCTCCTCCCTTCAGAGTGGCAACTTCCCTCAGGCCCTGGGTAGGTCCAGGGATGCTGTCTAGGAACCAGGGGTTGAAGTCAAAAACCTTAGAAATTTACTTGATGTTCTCTTCTACTATGGTTAAGCTGGCACTCAAACCACAAAAGAGTCATTCCCACTCTTCCCTCCCCTGTCCATAGACAGAGGAGCCTCTCCCTGTGGCCACCACTACCACCAGCCCACACGGGATTCTTCCAGGCCACCACTGATATTCACTTAAAGCCCAAAGGCTCTTCTGTCAGCTTTTGGTAAATGCTGTCAGGCCTGAGACCCACACTTCAGGGCAGTGGGTTCCCGTCTGGACAATGGCAGGTCCAGACATGCTATCCAAGATTATATGCCTGGACTCAGTGACTCCAAGTGTCCACTTGGTGCTTTACCCCACTGTGGCCAAAGCTGGTACCTAAAGTGCAAGACAAAGTCCCCTTTACTTTTCCCTCTGCTTTCCTCAAACAGAAGGAGTCTTTCATCATAGCCACCACAGCTGGGAATGTGCTGGATCACATCTGAAGCCACAACATCTCAGGGCTCTAGGTCCTTGGCATACTAACTTGACATCACTGTTGGTTATTAAGGGCTTAAGGGCTCTTTAGTCAGCAGGTGATGAGCCCTGCTATGACTGGATTCTTCCTGTCTAGGCAGCAGTTCCCTCTTGGACCATGGTGTGTCTAAAATGTCATTTTTGAGATAGGCCCCAGAATGTGGCCTTACAACTCTGCCCAGTGCCCTTTTCTACTGTGGTTGAGCTGATATCCAAGATGCAAGACAAAGTCCTCTTTCCTCTTCTCTCTCCTCACCTCAAGCAGAAGGAAGGAGTCATTTTTGTTGCTGCAAGCTGCACTGCCTGGGGTTGGGAGAAGAGGGCCGCAAGCACTCCTTTAGCCTCCCCATCTGGTATCTCCCTAGGTCACATGCCATCCGAATCTACTGGCTCTAAGCCCAGCCCAGGACTAGGAATTGCCTAGGAATTGAAGTCTTTGTGTCCTACAGTGCCTTTTGAGTTTACTTAGAACCCCAGAGCGCTTTGGACCATGGTGGCAAGGCCTGCCAAGAAACTTGAGCTCTGACTGCTAGAATAGGTGATTCCCCTCTGGCTAGGCTCGTCCAAATTCTCTGTCCATGAATGGGCACCAGCTGAGTCCAGCAGGGCTTAGCTGTGCACTGTGACAGGGCAGCACTGAGTTCAATGTAAAGTCCCCCAGTCGCTGTGCTGTCTGTCCCACAATTGCACAGACTCTCTCTGTGTGCATCTTGCATTACCTGGCAGGCTAAGAGCTCCCCTTCTAATGTCACTTGCCTAAGACAAGGTCCCATAGCTGTAGCGTATTCGTTGTCTTTTTTCCTGTCTATTGGAGGAGGGGGGTCAGACAAAACCTCTGTTTCCTCTGCTGGGAAAAGGGGGAGGGATGGTGTTGATGATTCAAGACTATCTCCTACCCTCTTCAGAGTCTCTTTAGCGATATGAAGTTAAAACCATGCACTGTGAGTGCCCACCTGATTTTTGGTTCTTCTGATGGTGCTTTTTGGTGCATAGTTGGTTGTTAAAATTTGGTGTGTGTCAGCGGGGATGGCAAATGTAGCCTTCTATTCAGCCATCTTACTCTGCTCTCCTCTTCCTTTAAAAATTATTTTGCTTAGCTGTTTTTGCTTGTAGGTCCCACAAAAACAGGCATTGGACTAGATTTTGCCCTTTAGCTATAGTTTGCTGCCTTCTGCCACTGACTGCTTCAAGATGATAGCAGTGCCCTCCTAGGCTCTTCTAGGGTAATCTGAGCAGGAGCAGACTGGAGTGGAGTAGCCATGGTAAATGCATATGAGAACACGGGCATGTTGAATGAAAGGCAAGATTTCAAGTCAGACAGAAGCTTGAAACAGTATTGCAAACTCAGTGCTGAATTTGATCACTAATTAAGACCTTGTAGATTCTTTGTGCTTTTATCTAAATCCTGTTATCACTCTGCAACTTTTAGGACTAATTAATGCAGGCTCATCTATCCTTGTACTACCTCTTCTAGCATTTAGAAACAATCATCAATGGTTTTTTTTTTTTAAACTATCATCAACATGTATTTGCAGAAATGGAGAGCCAAACATATTATTTTCTATCCTTTGTGCTGCCTAATGCTTTATATTAGGTTTATTCCATCTGTGTCATCTTAGCTGCAAAAGGTAGTTCCAGCAAAAGGTGAAGGTGTTCAGAGATTGATACTATGCAATTAAGACTTAAGGATACTAATCTTAAACTTTTATTTTTAGATCTTGTCCACGATGATAGAATCGAGGGTCACTTCCCCTCTTATTCATTAACGAATGTTTTAAAAAGTTGCTTACAAATTATATAATCTTTAATGCTTTTATAATACAATCCCTGTGGATACCAGAGAATATCATTTCCAAGTCACAATTTTAGGCAATTGTTTATCTCAACTTCTAGATATTTTTTCCCTCAAAATGTCAAAATTTGGAATATCCAGTTTCATAGTATAGCTTATCCAACTTTTAATAGTAATTATTAATGTCATGATTTTTTAAATCCAATTTTTCTCAGAATTAGTTTGCAGCCTCTGTATCAGCCCAAACCATCTGCTCTTAGATCTGTTGGTTTTTCCAAGTAGGAGACCTTTCTTATGGTTTTCACTGAAGTAATACAGCACTTTCATTTTGGCAGGGGGAAACTGGGTTTAGCCTTTGAAAGAAAGTCTCTTAAGACACTGAAAATGCACTTTCAATTAGTAAAATTAGCCTTTATCACTTAATAAATGAAGTGAGTCTCTTTATCCATTTTATATCACAAAGAATTAAAATCTCCTGTCCTTTGTTTTAATTGGTGATTGAAAATACTTTTTCATCTAAATGTATTAGCACTGAGCATGCCCTCCCCTGTTGTGCTTCCTGTTTGAAAAGCTAATTAAATGGTCTCATTGCTGATTGGCTGGAAGCCTATACAACTTCCTGGCTGCAGGCCATTAACACCCTGGCCAGAAGTGCTGACAAAAAGATGAAGAGATTTACACCCTCTGATTTCTGTATTAACAACAAGGACAAAACAGTATGTGGTCTTCTCAGTGGATAATACAATTTAAAGATAGGATTTCTTTTTCCACAGGTGCATTTGTCTCTGAAAATTAGCAGTTCAGCTTGGTGTGAATAATAAGGCATCTTCTCTGATGAGTTTGAATCATATTAAAAAATCTGTTATGGACAAGTTCAAGGTTTATAAGACTATTACCATTTCTCTAAATGAAAGAACCCAAGTCAGCTTATTTCTAGATCTATGTTCTGATTACTTAAAAAAAGTACTGGAAATAACAAGTATGAAAAGTGTTCTATTCTATAAAGGCAAAATACATACATATATATAAATATTGCAAAAAACATTTTTCTTAATTATGTCAGTTATTTAACATAAAATTACTTTTTAACAACAAAAAACAATGCCCTGTGATAAGATTGCTTTTCCCAATGAATTCACCACTGGTTTTAATAGTTTACCATATATTTTAGCAAGAAAACATGTGAAGCAAATGTGTATGTGTATATACAGAAGCCCACATAAAAATAGAGGGATATATGTATATATTTGACTAGACTTTTGCATATATAAGTATACATATACACACACCCCTCTTTACACAGATATCTATATATACACACACATATATATACATACAAGCACATGTATGAATATTAATCATGCACATAAATACACATATAAACATGTCACAATATAATACATAATATAACCAATTTAATTGGCTTTTCAAACAGGAAGCTCAACAGGGGAGGGAATGCTCAGCACTAATGCATTTAGATGGAAATGTGTTTTCAATCATCAATTAAAGATTAGATGTGGAGAACCTCTAATATATAAGATATGGAACTAGGAATTGGAGATGGGGTAAAAATCTTTACTTTTTCATATTCATTATGTATTCTTTCATAAAAGGAAATGATTGAATATATTTGATCAGTAAGGCCCTTTCTAGCTTTAAAGTGATAAATCTAAGATTTGTATATATTCAGATCCCTTTCATTAAACCACTAGGGAGTTCTGAAAATGATAGTAGATGAGTATGGAAGGACAGAAAGAAGTAACGAATGAAATATCAGGCTTTCAATAATTAATCAGCCAATAGCCATTGACCACATACTACTCTAAATGTGCTGTGCTGGGCTGAGACTACAAAACAACTGAAGTCTCATTCTTACTTGTGAGAAGCTTATAGAATGATTTTGGACAGATATGTAGCTATTGACATGAAAGCCATCAAGGTAAAGCAGGGATTGAGAAGTGGGGTAGAAAATTTATAATTGGGTTCTACGTTTCAGAAACAGAAGTCACTTTACAAAATATAGAGTGTACTGTAAATCTTGTTTGTACAGTTAATTGCTTACAAAACATTTATTAGTTGTTTCAAAGAGAATCCAACCCTTTAGGGTTGAAATTATTATAAGTTTTAAATTCTGAATTACCATAATGAATTTTTCATAAATTGAGGTCATCACCAAAATATTCTGCAATGAAAAGGACCAGTCATCAGAACTTTAAGATGAAGTCATTCAATTGAAGCAGAATATTTTAGAGTTATCTTAATAGATGGTCCTTTGCCTAAATGCACAAAACAAAAATAATTCTTACTGTGATCAGACTTAAAACAAGGAGAGTGTTAATTGGTGTTTTTACTATGCAAGACAGTGTGAATATCCAAAGAAATATAGAGTACTATATCTGACCTTCAGCAAGCTAAAATTTAATTGGATGAAAATATGGTATCTGTACCAATAAATAGCTGCTGATTTCCAAATGAGTGTCAATGAAACTAAGATCTATGCAATATCAACAAAGAAAATAGAAAAATAGATTTGATTTGGTTTTAGGAGTTTGAGTTAAATTCCGATATTTTAGCTGTGCATTCAACAAATATTTACTGAGTGTCTGCTGTGTACCAGGCAAAGAGGATGCAATGTTGAGCAATTCCAACCAAGGCTTAACCCTTATGAGTTGGGAAAGAGCAAACTAATTGAACACAGGGTTGGAGCCAGAGGGAGGCATAGCTGGTGAGGTATACAGGAAAATATAAAGTCATGCTTAGGAGCTCAATGAGAAGACTAGTGGGGATAGAACATATGGTTACTGATAAAGAAATATAGGAAACAAGAATTCCTAGTAAATGATTTCATAAAACCGCCTAAAACAGCTCACTATGGTACATATCAGGTAAGAAATTTGGAAAATATTGATGTGTTATGATATTCCCAGATTTAAGCTTAAAGTTAGGTTAACACTTTGTAAATTTACTAGTGAGAGATTACCTTGAAGACATACCTCACATATCACTCATAGGTGGCCCCAGATTGATGAACTCTGTTGGTATCTTAATAGATAGTTCTATATCTAAGACTCAGTTCCATAGCAATTTTCCAAAAGGACAAACTACAATTACAATAAAATATCGATATGTGTCTCAAATACTGTTCTGATGTAGAAGTATCTATGCGTCACTTTAAATATCATCTCAAATCCCCAAATTCTGAGGCTAAGAGAAGAGTAAAATATATGAAAAGAGTTTGCCTCAAAGGACACAAACTTTGATTCAAAGCAAAGTCATAGAACCTGGCAAAATTTAACATAAATTCAGCTGTTTTAAATGTATGTTCTTGATCTTCTCTTCCTTGAAAAGCGGAATGACTTTAAAATAGCAATATTTAGACAACCTTTGGGAACCAGAGTTCTATCTACAAAACCAATTAAATCAGTGTAAATGGTGTAAAATTAATAAGAAGGCTCAATAAATGACAAGATAGCTTAGTTATAAGCAAAGGAAATAATAATTTCATGTTCAAATTAATGCTCAAATTAACTTGAGTCGGTCAGATTTCTGTAATATTGGGGTTTTCATTGACTTCTCTCTTACCATAAGTCCCTAGGCTTGTTTTTAAGCTCCTCTATTAAGAACCCTGATGATAAATGTTGCCTGGTGAACTCTGCATTTTCTACTAGACAGGCAGCTCCCTTAGGGCAATGATGGGGAATGTTTATAATTTGCTTCAGTAGCTTCAGTGTCTGGTGTGTCTATTACATTAGTTTTGTTAAATTATGTCCTGAATGATTGACATAAATTATGTCATGAATGAATGACATGGATGAATGTAAAGTCTGACCACATATTAGGTTGTTTAAACATAGAATCACAAAGTAATGTATTTTTATAAATGATAGAAACCTTGGGGGTCAACCTCTCTAACCTTTTTCATTTTTGAGATTCAGAGATTGACATTGAATAATTAGCCTCTTACTCCTGTTTAATTTTTAACCATATCTCTTGCTCACATGTATTATATTTTTTGCTATCTTCCATACCACTGCATTTTTATACCTACATAACCTAAGCAAAATCACAGCCTAAATATTTTACTTGGAAACTGAGGTTTGTTCTTGACCCATCCCTTTTCCTCATAAACATATTCAACATTCAATAGGTTCTGTTCATTATACATCAAAATATAGCTAGACTTTCTCCTTTCTTCCATCCCACTATTACCTTACTTGTCTATTTCCTTTTGCCTTGACTGCTGTTAAGTTTCTCTCTGAGATTCCTGCTTCCACTCTTGTATTCACCACCACCACCTCAAACTATTCTCTATACAGCAGCCAGAATGATCTTCCAGATATGTAAATCTGATCACGTCATTTCCTTGCTTAAAATCCCTTAATAACATCTCAGTGTGGTTGAAATAAAATGCAGACTTACTAAAGTGGTGGATGACATCTGAATTATCCACCCTGCTTACAGCCCCAGGTTAATCTTTTGCCATGTTCCTCTTGGCCCACTGAGCTTCAAAGCCCATGTCCTATTGAACCACGCATCTTTTAAATAAATACTTCTTGATGCTTTAATACTTCTTTTTAAGTTCATGGATATTACCATCAGGAAAGGTCATAAACAAGCTTGGAAGCAATGTTGTTGCTGATTCTATAAAAACTGCATAAGTACCCTGACACTTGAGGTTTAAAGCTGTTCTGAAGGGATAATTTACTTCCTACCACACATACCTGCAGCCAGATAGTGGCCCCAAAGAAGCAGGGTAGAAATATATCTGACTTCCCAGGTGTGTCCTTTCCCCATCTTTCTTCTCAGACTAGGTGTCATGTGATATAACTGGACCCAGGAGAATGACCCCACAACTGAAAGATTTTTATGAAGGATGATTTACTATTCTCCAACGTACTGACATTTTTCTACAGCCCAATCATTGCTGGGGAGTAAGTACAGAACAAAATGTGTTGAGATAAAAGATCATTTCAGGCTTTTGTGGTGAGCTTTGATTCTGGTGAGTTTGAGACACATTTCAGACTATAAACTTTAGCGTCAAACATTGTCATTTTCCCTTCGAGTGGCTATTATATCATGTTATTCTGGGTCAGGTTATCAAAAATTTGGTAATTCTTAAACAAGTTTTGATTTTTTCAGAGTCTCAGTAGAGAAGGTTGAAAATCACACAAGTTACATAGTTAAGCAGAAATATTTTGGTTTTCCATTTTCATTGTGCAAATGCATGCACAGTATGAAAATGCATTTTATTAGCTCCAATTTTCCCCCAGTAGGTACTTCCAAATTGAAATTAAAATTATATAGATTTACCAGAAGTCTTTAATCTAAATTATTATTTCTGTTGGGATTTCTGGCTTCTTATTTTACAAAATGGATTTTATGGGGAGGAAAAATATATTAAAATTATAAGAGGAAAAAATTGACTCCTTTTGGTATATTTGATGTGAATCTTAGCTATTACCAAATTAACTTTAATGAATTATATAATACGGAATAAAGGCTTTGGGCAGACTACTCTCTCTACTGCATCTTTGTATTGAAAACTTGTTTCATTTAGGCTTCTCCTTTTTTTTGTCTCTCTCTAAAGATTTTGAATATAGCACTCAGGCACATGTCTTTGGCAGGAAAAAAAATCACTTATATTGAGAAGAGGGTAGTCCTATGAAACAAATGTAGAGTAAAAAGTATTGCCAGAGAATCTCAGCAGGGCCATTTACAGCCATATGAAGGCAAAAGCTTATATTAATAAACCTAATACAGTGCCTGGTATGTATTCAATGACTGCCACTGGGAAGAAGAAAAATAGGAACTTGGGTTAATAGACGGTCAGATAGAAGATCATTTAATCCTTTGGGTAACATGCTCAATTAAAAGTTTGAAACAATTATAACCCAATAAATTCTTGTTTCAATGACCTTTGAAATGAATAGGGAAATGTCTTGCCAAGTTTCTTTGTTTATGAAAATCCTTGTTAGGGTTTTGTAATGTTTCCTTCAGAAAATATGCTGGATGTGAATTCTGTATTCCTACCTTGGAATTCTGAAATCCAGAAGATTGAATCATTTTCTGAACAGTAACAGGACTTAACTATAACATAGCACAAGTTGTTACATAACATGATATAACATGTTAATATACCGGAAACATATGTTACTATCTGTTAATTAATTTGGGTATTAGTCAATATTTATTGAGTGCTACTGTGTACCTAGGGAATAATACCAAAACACAGGAGTCATAGATTCCCCCCTCATGAAGATCACAGTACTTCTGTAGTCAAAACACACAAGGCTTATAATACAATTTAAAAAAAACAGTATCAGGCTCTCTTATGAAGGAGAAAAAACATAAGTTTTCGAACTCACTGCTTCCCATTATTTACTGACTTACTTGCCATCTCTAAAAACATGTGCAGTCTTTAGATTCACTGTTTTTTCTTTACACATGTTGCTTCTCTGTCTAGAATGTCCTTTTGTATCTTGGGCATCTGGTGAACTCCCATTCTTTATTCCAGACCCAGCCATAGTCCACCATTTCTGAAGCTCTTTTCTGATTATTGATTTCCCAATAGGCATCACTGAGGATTACGCTATCTTTGCTCCACCAGCATCTTTCATTTTTGTCACAGTGCGCTATGCTATATATTTGCCTTTCCTACTAGACTATGAACTCTTTGAGGAAAGAAACTGGTACTGTTCATCACTGTATTCCTCAGGCAATTAGGATGATCCCTGGCACATATTAGATGTCCAATAAATGCTGACTGACTCTGGATTCCCCAGAAACAGGACACATACACACACACACACACACACACATGCATACACACAATATAAGTATGTATTTATATTATTTTTATATATTAATATATGTTTATGTGATATATAAATATTTTATATAATATATAGGATCTATCCATCTATTTAGAAAGATAAATAGAGACAGAGAAAGAGATTGATCACAAGGAATTGGCTCACATGGTTCTGGAGGCTTAGAAGTCCTAGTATCTATAATTGGCAAGCTGGAGACCCAGGAGACATGATGGTATAGTTCCAGTTAGAATCTGAAGGCCTCAGAACCAGGAGACTTGATGGTGAAAGTTCCAGTTCAAGTCTCAGTTCAAAGGCAAGAGAAGACTAATGTCCCAGCTCAAGCAGTCAGGCAGAAGATGAATTTTCTTTTATTCTGCTTCTTGTTCTATTTGGGCCTTTAACGGATTGGATAAAGCCCACCCACACTGGGGAAGACATTGTTTTATTCAGTCTATTGATTTAAATTTTAATTTTATCTAGAAACACCCTTATAGACACATCCAAAATAATGTTTGGCCAAAAGGCTGGGTGCCCCACGGCCCAGTCAAGGTGACACGTAGAATTAGTCACCACACTGACTGACTGACTGAATGAGTGGGTGATCTGGGAATTCTCATTAAGTAATGCAGTCAGTGCAGGTAGGGGTGCATGGAAGAAGAACCTTGATAAAATAGGGAAAGGGTGGTGACAGTGATGTGATGAAAAACAGAAGATCATACCAACTTAAAGAGTTTGCTTTTCTGCTTTTGAAGGATTTGCCTATCCTGAATTGTGCATACTTCCAAGTAGGCCCAACAAATATCAGCCGTATTCACAATCAACTTTTATGAGCATTGCAACCATTCATTAGCCATGTGTAATGAGATTTTTAGCTTAATAGAAAGCCTCAGCCTGAATTCTGTAAAACTATTCATTACTATTGATTATAAACCAATCTCAGGTTTTTGTATTAAGAATTTTACATGCAGAAGAATTAAAATTATTGTCAAAGCTTGTAGAGGTAAACATGTCTTCATGAAATCAATATGCTCGTGAAGAGTTGCTTGCAAATTTCACTGAATATAATGCACTGAATAGAGTATTAGAAACATTAGGAAAGTTTCCTTTTGTATTTTTAAAGATATGCTTGTTTTAGAAAAAAATGAGCAATATAATTTTCGCTCATTTAAAAAAAGTTTATTAACATAATTTTCTATGGATGTATAATGTTATGTACAGTGGATATACTATAATTTGCTTAACCAATTACCAATTGTGCAATTAGCCCATTTTATATTTTTTACTATTTTAAATAACAATATTGAATACATATGTAACTTTTCTTTTTGTATACTTATGTATGGATTCCTAGAAGAAAAATTGAGTTAAATTGGTTTTTTTGTTTGTTTTGGGACAGACTGTTGCTGTGTTGCCCAGGCTGGAGTGCAGTGGCGCAATCTTGGCTTATGGCAATCTCGGCCTCCTGGGCTCAAGTGATTCTCATGCCTCAGCCTCCCGAGTAGCTGGAATTAAAGGCGCACACAACCACACTTGGCTCATTTTTGTACTTTTAGTTGAGTCGAGGTTTCACCTTGTTGGCCAGGCTGGTCTCAAACTCTTGACCTCAGGTGATTCGCCTGCTTAGGCCTCCCAAAGTGCTAGGATTACAGGTGTGAGCCACTGCACCCAGCCGTGGTTAAATTGCTATGATGCAAATTTCAAATCACTTTACTGAGGTGGTGTATCAATTCACACTTTCACAGTATTGTTAATTATCATTTTAAGAGGTTTTTTGCAACACTGATAGGCTAAGGTCCTATCTCATTTTTGTTATATTTTCAGTTTTAATTACTAGTGAATATTTGTCCACATTAGAAATTTAAAGAATTTCTATAGAAAATCTTACATTAAAGTAAAACAAGCAAATAATAAACTCCTAGCTGATCTACACATTAAGTATGAGTCTGCATTTGGCTTAATGCATACTCACAGTTAAGCGACCTCTTTCAGTCACCAAAGATGACAGCAGAGCTAAGATGAAAGATAGTTGCCACTATTCATTATTTGCTATCTAGTACCTTCTGTAAGAAGGACTTCATTCTAACTTTCACATACATAAATGGCATTGATGTTCAGTATAATTTGATTAGATTTTAAGAAGAATCTAGAAAGACAACACCATGTGAGTTTGAGGAAGAGGTGGTAAAACTATTATTTAACCTTGTGCTCAGAATAGATATTATAATATAGCTTGACTGGAGGAAATAAAGTTATTAAAATGCTACCTAGAACAATGCTTCCCAAAACTGCCTCTGTTGGCCCTATAATTAATCAAAGATATTGATGGGACAAGCCAGCTCACGCTTGTCTGATTGTTGATACTGAAATCAAGAGGAGCAGGACTGTTAGGACACGTTGTAGTTCATGTCTGATCACCACCTCCAGGGGAAAGCTGGGTAGGGGCTGAAATCCAGTTCTGGATTTACTGGGTTGATTCTGTGCAGTGCCTTTATAAAATTCATTCCCTCAGAGACAGTATCCTTTCCTAATTATACAATGGGGCAAAGTATGAACCACCAGGGGTCCTGAGGATATTACTAAGAAGGATGATTCCGGAGAATCCTGAATTACTCCATGGCTTTGAAGGCCAGCTAAGAAATAACCTAGCAATGCTCTTAGGTGAGATTATGATAGACCAGGCTTTAAACTGACTCTTGGTCATGGGGATTATAGGAGTCCCCAAATGGCCGTCTGTTTCTGGGTCTCATGTATAGTCAGGCTTTCATTGCTTCAAGGATCTGGAACAGTACCAACACTACAGAGGATGTTATATTGGACAAACCCCAAAGATGATTCTGAGAAAGACTTAGTTGATGGCCTTACTCCTTGCCTATTTTTGGCCTAGGGCAAGAGGTCATTGTGTGCTGCTAAGCTTGCAGAGCTGGACAAACTCCAGGTAATCTCATTATTCCAAACTGCTACAGACTATGTTGGAAAGTGACAGAGCCAAAGCTCAAATCCAACTTTCAAAATTTGGATGTCTGCAATACTCTATTCAAACATTTAGAGTCACATAGAACCTCAACCAATATTTGTGTATTTTTTTCTTTCTGTAAATATTTGATATACTTCACAGAAATAAAATACAGAAAACATCCACAGGAATGTAGAAATACTTTTCAAGCTTTTATTTATCCACTTAACTTTTTAATAGTATCTGCCTATAGTATCTGGGTAATCTGCCTATACTGTTTTTCTTTCCCTTTGACATCCTTTAGAGGTTCATTCATTTGGTCATGTGATTGCTTCTTATAAGATCACATAGGGTGAACATCGCTGGCACTTACCAGACATGCTTACCAGGACTTCCTTTGCAATGTCCACCATAGAGCAATTGCTCTTCAGCCAACCACCTGGGAGTCTGTAATTTTGCCAGTGGAAATGAAGCAAAAATAAAAAGGAGTGGGAGAATAAAAAAAGGGAAATGATAGCTTGCAGAGGGATGTGGCAAGTACAGGCCAAAATGAGCTTCTACCAAATGCCCTGCATATCTTTTATTGGCCTTCTGGCTGCTTTTTGAAAAGGACTAATTCTAGAGAATGTCTCTTTGGCTTGCCTCTATTCTCTGCCTTTTGGCTAATTTGAGAATTTAAAAGGGCAAAGGAGGTCTGGCTTTGAAGGGATGTAACCTTCAGGCTTTAATTTGGAGCAAACAAAGCATTTACAGCCGCTCTCCTCTGGCAGTTGCAGAGTATTACCACACTGCTGAATATTTAAAAGCAAGGCGTGTTTCCAACCCCAAGGTCTGTCCCCCAATTGATAAGTCTCTTTTTATTAAATGAACTTTAATTACTTAATAATTAGACCTTCCACAGGAGAAGATGTGGATCCTGATAGTCTGCCAAGAAGGCTAGAGGGCAAATCGGAAGAATGTGCCATTTTCAGATTAGAATTTAAAAGAAGGAACAGGCCCATTCTGGGGGTGTGTGGGTGGAGGAGAGACCTCCCTAGAGGCGGCAAGTCTTGGCATAAACCTGGACTGTGAAATGCTTTATTTCCACTTTTGCTTGAAAACTAAAGTACTTTAGAATTAAATGAATGAGAGTACATGTCGAAAATATTCAAACTTTCTGACTGTCTGGATCTGATGGAAAGATTTCTTGTCGTCTATGCAGTGTGTGTATGCTTGGGTGGAAGGGTAGGGAGAGACTATTGTTCTCCTTATTTTGATTCTGAGAGCCTAACACTTTTGATGTCCCTACAGATTTAGCAGCTTTCCATTCATTGCCATGGTGATTTTTTACCTCATTTTTTTTTTTTTAGCATCACAAAGGAAAAGCCCAAATGAAAAATGTTTGCTTCTTTTGCTATTAACATTTCTACTGCCTGGTGACAGCAAATATTTGGGTTGTGCCTAGCTTCTGAGGAAATATGTATTGGTCTGAGGAGATTGATGGCCACAGCCATTGCCCAGGCTGTCCCAGCTGGGTGAGGGGCTGGCCCTGAGACCACTGATAACTTTGTTCCTGGGGACAGTGATGTGAAGGGAGGATGAGGAAATCCCATTCAAAACGTCTACTGATTTACAATTGAACTGTTTGTGGCTTAGATAATATTTTCACAAATGCCTTATGGATAGCCTCTCCACACCTCACCACCTCTACACCAACCCATCTCTTCAAATGAAAGGATTTATTAGTCTCAGCTCTTTTCTGCTTTCCTGAAAAAAATCACTGCTTTTCCCTTCTCCTATTTTATTATTTATTTATTTTTTAAAGACAGGATCTCTCTCTGCCACCCAGGCTGGAGTGCAGAAGTGTGATCATAGCTTACTGCAGCCTGGAACTCCTGGGCTCAAGTGATCCTGCCACCTCAGCTTCCTGAGTAGCTGGGACTACAGGTGTGCACCTCCAGACCTGGCTAATTAAAACAATTGTTTTTCTTTCTTTCCTTTTTTTTTTTTTTTTTTTTTTTTTTTGAGACAGAGTTTCACTTTTGTTGCCCAGGCTGGAGTGCAATGGCACCATGTCGGCTCACAGCAACTTCCACCTCCTGGGTTCAAGTGATTCTCCTGCCTCAGCCTCCCAAGTAGCTGGGGTTACAGACATGTACCACCACGCCCATCTAATTTTTTGTATTTTTGATAGAGACGGGGTTTCTCCATGTTGGTCAGGCTGGTCTCGAACTCCGGAACTCAGGTGATCCGCCCGCCTCAGCCTCACAAAGTGCTGGGATTACGGGCATGAGCCACCGTGCCCGGCCTTAAAAACAACTTTTTTTTTTTATAGAGACAGAATCTCTCTATCGTGACCAAGTTGGTCTCAAACTCCTGTCCTTCAGTGATCCTCCCACCTTGGACTGCCAAAGTGTTGGGATTATAGGCATAAGCTACCACTCCAAGGCTCCTCTAACTAATTCTTTATGCTTTCCTAGTTATTGCTTGTGTTTCCTAAACTTTCCAATATTTAGGGTCTGAAACATTTGCTTAAACTGATTATCTTAACAATGATATATATTTTTCATTCAACATACGTTTGATGGCCAAGTATTTGCCATACACCATGCTAAGTGCTTACAGTATAGAATAACATAGACTCGGCTCTGATTTGTGGAATTTACAGATTAGTCTGGACGATGGCTAGCAAATAAATTCCACAGTTAATCACAATTGAAGTAAGTGCTGGAGATAAAACCTGTAGGACAACTGGTTCTATCCGGACTTGGGGAAAGCTACTATGAGGAAGTGAGAATTCTGTTACTGCATTGAACTATTAAGTCTCAGGTATTCAAACACACTGTTACTGAAGAGCTGCAAATAGGGTAAAACCTTTACTCTTCCTTGCATGGGTAGTTAATAAATGTTCTAGGAACAAATTGGGGTTACGGCTGCTTAACAGGCATTGAGCAACACTTAACAAAGTAACATATAAGTAGACTCCTAATGAATCCTTTTAATGTTAAAATTAGTGTTACAGAACAATGGAAGATCCTTTTCAGGACTCAAAATAACAAGGTGAGACCCATTTCTCTATGGCAGTCTCATAATGGCTCTATATCTCTTGCTAATAGCACCCAATGCTTACTGTACAACTATAATTAGAATTGTTGACATCAATATAATTTTTGATGCTGAAGCCCAGGCACTTTTACTTTGTATTAATCACTTATAAAATTTGAATTAAAACTGTCTTTATCATTTCTAAGAAGATTAAACAGAGCTTCCATATGTGTCTGACTTTTCCATATGTAAAACAAATGTTCTTTCCTTTTTATAGTTTCTCACTAATAAGTTCTGATCTTTGTTAATGCATGGAGATACAGATAATGTGGAAATCTGTAAGTTGGCTTGTGTGGGACACTTCCAACAACACCAGGTGTTCCTGTATTTAAAGCTGCCATAGCATCTTGGGCCAGTCTAGGTGTGAAGGTAGGAACTTTGAAATTCATTCTGGGAATCAAGGTTTTCCTAGGCTAACAATGTAAGCCCTGCAAAATCACCAAAAATTGTTTGTCTGCTATTTTTAATAGTTAAGTACTTCAGGCTGAAATTTGTCTATAGGAATTCAATGTAAGGCAGAAAGTACTTACTAAACAACAAAGTGTATTGAGTACAGTACTGCTACTTGAGGGTTTGAGGAGTGAAGAGTATTCACATATAAACGAACGTCTTTTTGAAATATTTTTGTTTATGTCAGGGAAATAAGGTATTTTAAGAAGTATAATAATTCAGTACTAAACCTTTAAAAATAACCATCATGGGCTGTGTACAGTGACTCACGCCTGTGATCCTAGCACTTCAGGATGCCAAGGCAGGTGGATCATTTGAAGTCAGGAGTTTGAGACAAGCCTGGCCAACATGGTGAAACCCTGTCTCTACTGAAAATACAAAAATTAGCTGGGCATGGTGGCATGCACCTGTGATCCTAGCTACATGGGAGACTGAGGTAGGAGAATCGCTTGAACCAGGAGACAGGTTGCTATGAGCTGAGATCGTGCCAACACACTCCATCCTGGGCGATAGTGTATAAGACTCGGGCTCAAAATAAATAAATAAATAAATAAATAAAAATAACAATCATACTATAAACATTTGAAAGAGTTTGGTACCAGTTCCATCTAGAAAGTGGAGATAATAATACTTCCTAAAAGAGCCATTATGAAGATTAAATAAGGTCATTTATAAAAGTGTTTATAATGGCATAAATGATAAAACAATCCGTTCCCAAAGTCCTCTAGCTTGTTAAATAATGAAGCGGGGAAGTGACTCCAGGTAATCTCATTATTCCAAACTGCTACACAGTATGCTGGAAAGTGACAGAGCCAAAGCTCAAATCCAACTTTCAAAATTTGGATGTCTGCAATACTCTATTTAAACATTTAGAGTCACATAGAACCTCAGCCAATGTTTTGTATCTTTTTTCTTTCAGTAAATATTTGATTTACTTCACAGAAATAAAATACAGAAAACATCCACATGAATGTAGAAATACTTTTCAAGCTTTTATTTATACACTTAACTTTTTATAGTATCTGCAAATTGTGAGTACTATAAAAATTTAAAAGGTGGAGTGATGATTTCCAGTAAGTACGACTAGGAAAAAGGGAGAGATTTTTGATTGAGTACCTAAAACATGACTAGAGATTTGATAGGTAGATGTTAGCAGAGAGCGTGTTCCTTTTCAGAGGAAGTTCCATAAGAAATACAGCCAAGAGGAAACCATGTTTAGGACATCTACAAGTTCAATAGATCTGAGAATTGTTTTGCAGAAGTTGTGGAAAATGAACCTGAAAGGGACATAGTGCTAGATACCTGGGCACATATTAAACAAAAAACTCTTTGCCTGGTTTTGGGGCAAAAGACAATGCCAGAACATTTTGGGAACTTCAAGATTTCCTGAGTGAAGCAAAACCTTTAGTGATGTAGGAGCACTGATATTTTGACTATGTTTGGAATGCATTCGAGTGAGGAAAACAGAGAGATAGGAAGACCATTGCTGCTATCATTACAACGGATCAGATGTGGCCTAATGAGTCTGAACCAGGCTTTTTCCATGAATGGGCTGTGGTTGAGCAGGTAACTATTTTTCACAAGGATCTAGTGAAAATTATACCTGTATCTCTCTCTGGATGAAGCTTGGGAATCATTTGTATTGCATTAGAACATTAGATGACTTTTACGAAAATATAGTATTTCATACGTATGCGTTATAGTGAGTTTATTGTTCATTACTAGATATTCATGCACATACCTTGAAACTATAGTACTAAGTTGATAGTCTATAATTTCTTCTTCTTTTAAGACTGTTGCTGGGTTGTTACACCACCATGAGATGTAACTGCTAAAATTTAGCACAATATTGGGAGCATTCAGTCAAGCCTTATAGAGCCTTATAAACTTAGAATTGCTTTTGAATGTGTAGAGTTTCCCATTTAGAGACAAAAAGAAAAGACTATGCATCATGTTTATAATTTCTCACTATGACAAATAATCAACTCTGTGAAATTTTCAAACATTGCATTGTTAACTTTTAAACAGGATGCAGTTCTGGCCCTGGCTTGTTAAGATCTGAAATCATCACAGAGTGCATGCAATTCTATTAGCCAATTCTGTTAAGTCTAATTATATTAATATGCAATCCCAGCCTTTGTATCGAATTCTTCCAAGTAGATGAAGTTTACATAGGAAACCAATTGTTGAGTATCAGTTTGAATTACTATTTCATTTTACATATTCCAGGCTCTAGAACCTACTTGCAAATACATTTTTGAATGCAAAAGACATTCGGATGTAAAATAGATGTTTAATTTTCTGTTTTATTATTTCTTTTTTTGAGACAGGTTCTCACTCTCTTGCCCAGGCTACAGTGCAGTGGCACAGTCTTAGCTCACTGCAACCTCTGCCTCTGGGCTCAAGTGATCCTCCCACCTCAGCCTCCCGAGTAGCTGGGACCACAGGTGTGTGCCACCACACCTGGGTAATTTTTAAAAATTTCTTGTAGCGACAGCGTTTCATCATGTTGCCCAGGCTGGTCTCAAACTCCTGTGCTCAAGTGATTCTCTCACCTTTGCCTCCTAAAATGCTGGGATTACAGGTGTGAACCACCATGGATAAATGGTTTAAATGCTTTAAATTTATCCAATGTGTATGACTTCTAAAGAGCCATAAATCTGAATATATAAATGTCCAGATTATTAAAATCAACTTAAAATTTTATTCTCACCTACATATATTAAATACATAACTTGTGTATATTGGAAAATTATTCCTGACTATATTTCCTTAACTACAAAATAAAATACTAGGGATGACAACCAAGAAGAAAACTATTAAATAAAAATCAAATTTGTGCGAAACTCATTGCCCTACATAAGCCTCATATCTGTCACTACTCATTGCAGCTTTGCTTTGTGTGGTAGACACAGATCATGCTCTGTTTAAGTACATGCCTTAAATCCATACCTGAGCCAATCTGTAGTAGATTAACGTACTTCTTTGGAATAGACACAAGACTGTATAATGCAGACAGTCTGGAAACTGGATTTTGAGCAATAAGCCTGGGTACAAGGTAACTAATTCCTTTCGTTCTTCACCCAGTGGTAGATGCAGCACAGACACAGATTAGTTCTAACTGAAAAAGAATAAAATTAGCCAAGTGGCTGGCGCCCCCTGTAGGCAATCTGTAGTGTTTATCCAGGCATCCCCATGGATCCAGATTTCAGAGCCTTAGTTTAAGAATCAGATGAGTAATTTTAGAATATATATGTGAGGGATAAATTAATATTTGCATCAATATTAAGGTTTTTGCATGGTATAGCATTAATCTTTCTTACAAAGAACAATCTTAATATTGCATCTCTAGGATTGCAGGTCTATTTCTGTGGATGTAGCTATAATGAGTGATATCCTTCAGCAGCTTGTACCTAACCCACATATAATTTTGGTCTAATTTTATATTTCATAGATTCAGTTATTTTGTGGTCCAAAACTCTAATCCCTAAAAGAGACGTAAAATTTCACCTTCACTTAGGGAGGGAAAGTGAAATAGCATCGCTTATTGTCTCTCATATTAAATTATGATTTGACCCAGGTCATTTTACCTTTGCCCTTTTGGCCACAGCAAAATTTGTATCAGGTTGTGGGGAAAATTAGGATCATGAAAATTAATAGACCCAAATTAAAACTAAGGGTAATTAAAACTGAACACAGTAGAATTTTGTTTACTGAAGATTAATGAGACAATCAAGCTTTCTGGACAAAATTTAAACCTGGACCTGGGGAATGTTGACTTAAATCTATAAAATAAAAATCACAGTAACATAAAATATGATTAGTAAAACTTGACATGAACCCCAGACTGATGAATGGATCAAAGTTTATTGTGACATGTGCATAAAATTAAAACAATTCTGGAATGAGTCAAATGAAAATAGAAATATCAGAATTTAACTGGGATGAATAGCAAACATAAATAATTATTAAAATTTAGTTGAATTTTCTCTAAGAATTTGCCAGTGGTCTTTCATTGATGGCACAATTGATACCAATAGATTTCTTTGTAATAATTTAAAAAAACACAAGAATTTCATGGTCAAAACTTAGGATCACAAATATCCACTTGTTCATATCAGGGGGTTTGAGATGGCAAGGTGAAAACACCTACCCCTCTCATGTACAACGTCATGGCAGAGAAGCCTTCTCTCTCACCATGCTTATGCTTGTATGCATGGTGATGCATACAAGCATGTATATGCATGCTTATGCTTGTATGTAATGGCCAGTTTATTTGTTTTATTTTTTCATGCATGCTTATGCTTGTATGTAATGGCCAGTTTATTTCTTTTATTTTTTCCTTATATTGGTCATTCATATGAATGAATCATTTTCACATGTTATTTCATATGAACATTGAAGTGACTATGTGAATTAGATATTACCCCATTTCATGGCCCAAAGAAATGAAACAAGTTTCCAAAGTATTCATATGTAATAGGTGGCTCAACTAGTCTAGAAACACAAGCTATCCTAATTCCAGCTTTTAAATCTTTTCACTACACCACAGCCATACCTGGCAAATGTGGATGAACATTTACCTTAAGCAGTAAACCCTAAAAGACAATCCTTTGTTACTATAATTGGTGGTTCCTATCATCCCTCTTTCTTGAAGCTGCTCTAGGTCATGCCGTATGACGAGTCCTTCATGAATCTTCATGACTTCATAATCCTTTGTCCAAAGTGGGGTAACAGGAATTCTGTCCATAGGACCAGGATTCGGAAGAACAAGTTGCTGTCTGTAGGACTGTCATCTAAAAACTGAACTCCAATGTGGGATTTCACTTCTCTGAACCTCAATTTCCTTATCTATAAAATTAGGCTAATCTTATCTACTTTGTTTATTTTACAGGGCTGTTTTATTTACCAATAAATAAGCTTCTAGAGATGAATGACAACATCTTCATTACTTTTTAGCCTCTGAGCATACTGTAGTGCCAGACAGAAAATGTGGTAAAGTGTGAAGAGCAAATGAGACGATATTTGAGAAAACAGCTTGTAAAATATAATTTTCTACAAAGAATACAAAGTGATTATTTTTATTGGCGATTATTGTGCTTTATTTGGAAGACTTATTCTTCCTTCTTTGTTTTTCTCCTAGGACCACTGAGGTTCCTTTCACAGACAGAATCTGTCACAGCCTTCATGGGAGACACAGTGCTACTCAAGTGTGAAGTCATTGGGGAGCCCATGCCAACAATCCACTGGCAGAAGAACCAACAAGACCTGACTCCAATCCCAGGTGACTCCCGAGTGGTGGTCTTGCCCTCTGGAGCATTGCAGATCAGCCGACTCCAACCGGGGGACATTGGAATTTACCGATGCTCAGCTCGAAATCCAGCCAGCTCAAGAACAGGAAATGAAGCAGAAGTCAGAATTTTATCAGGTATTGCAATGCTCTTTGTTGCCTTCAGAATGATATTCTCTGGAATAAGTTGAAAAACAATTTTTTTCTTTAACAGATATTTGTAATTGTTATAAGTTCTGTATTGTTCATTGCGTTTTGTTTATTATTTCTTTCTTCCTTGCCGAAGCATTCAATCAGGTTGTACCAAAAGCTGTTCTTTTTTTTTTTTTTCATGTCTTGTTGAAGTTTCTGGAAAAACAGTTATCTCTCCTTTATTCATTCACTTGTTCTATTAATATTTAGTGAGTATTTCTTTGTGCAAGGCCCATTGATAAGCATTTCTCACATATTATTTCATTTTCCTCTGATAACAGTCTAAGAGGTAGTTTTGATTCATTTCAAAGGATGAAGGTGAAAATTTGCAACGTTAAGAACATTCCCTAAGTTAGTATTGAACTATAGATATATGATACATATAGATATATATATGTATCATATATCATATATCTATAGTTCAATATTAAAATTAGGCTGATCTTATCTACTTTGTTTATTTTACAGGGCTGTTTTTTTTTACCAATAAATAAGCATCTAGAGATGAATGGCAACATCTTCATTACTATTTAGGCTCTGAGCATACTGTAGTGCCAGACAGAAAATGTGGTAAAGTGTGAAGAGTTCTCTTTTGTATATTCTGTACTCCATTAGTCACAGGGATACTGACTTAAATGTATCAATAACCAGTGACAACACTTACATTTCATCTACCAGGCAATAACAGAAGCAAAGCTAGCATTTATTCCCAGCACATACATGCATCTATTTACATTTCCATTACATACACAAAATTTTAAATATATCATACATATATCATATATATCATATATACATGATATGTATTATATATATACCCTATATACATGATATATATCATATATACTTGATAGATATCATATATACATGATATGTCATGGATATATACATGATATGTCATGGATATATACATATGGATATATACATATGTATATGTATATATCCATATGGATATATACATATATCATGTATATATGAATGATATATATCATATATGCATGATATATGTCATGTATATATACATCATATCATTCATATATACATATTTTTTTTAGACTAGGGTCTTACTCTGTTGCCCAGGCTGAATGCAGTGGTGCGATCACAGCTCACTGCTGCCTCAACTTCCCAGTCTCAGGTGTTCCTCCCACCTCAGCCTCAGTAGCTGGGACCACAGAATTGTGGCACCACACCCGGCTAATTTTTTGTATTTTTTTGTAAAGAAGAGGTTTCATCCTATTGCCCAGGCTGGTCTCAAACTCCTGGGCTCCAGCAATCTGCCTGCCTCAGCCTCCGCCTCCCAAATTGCTGGGATTACAGGCGTGAGCCACTGTGCCCAGCCTGAACAATCACTTACTTGTCCATTCACATGCTTATTTCTGAGAAGCACTGTGCTAAGTACTAGGAATCCGGCAGTGGCAAAGACTGTCCCAGAGCCTGGCCCATTAGAGTTCTGGGTGGATGCACACATGTAAGTAATTACAATAGGGTGTGATTGATATGATGATTTTAAAAAAGTCATTTCTCTCCAACTCTTATTTTACTTTCTCTTCTCTGGGAAATCCCTAAGACACTGGCCTCATTTTGCGATTCTAATTAGTTAGAATCTCATGTAATGCCTACTTTCTCTTTTAGCCGAACTTGTAAGACTGACTTAGACGCTCTTGTGAGAATCCCAAAAAAGGCACACACTGGAGAAATTGGAACTGACTACATCTCAAAGTATGGATGTTGGCTTCGGTCTCTGCGCTCTTAACTGTGTATAGTTATCACAAGTACTTCAGCTATGCAGAGAGTAGCATTCTTGTAATTCTAAAAGCAAACTGGCAATTCAATTGAAAGTTTCCAGGTGCTTTAATGAGGACATCTCTAAAACCTCTCTTTTGCAGATTCTCTACTCCATTAGTCACAGGGATACTGACTTAAATGTATCAATAACCATTGGTAACACTTACATTTCATCCGCTAGGCAATGACAGAAGCAAAGCTAGCATTTATTCCCAAAACATACATGCATCTATTTACGTATCCATTACATACACAAAGTTTTAAATATTTATATTCACATATTATTAATAATGCATCTGTTGAGTATATCAGATGGGAAGCCAAGGTAAGCTGCATGGAAAATTGGCAAGCATATGTTTATCTTAATATGACAGGAAAATCTGTTTTCCAGTGGTATTAAGGAATCAAGTTGAACTAATGAAATATTAAATTTGAAATGCAGTTTTAAAAGACACAGAGACATTATAATCAAATCCCCATTTACCTTTGTTTCTTCACCTTGCAACAGCCATTTGCATTGTAAACCATGGAGATTTATTTTAAGCCAAATTTTGTTTTCTTAATTTGCCTAAAATAGAGAACATGTTGTACTTTTGAGATGTGTGAGCATTTCTTAGCTGAATTGAAACTGATATTTTTGTAAAGGCATCACATCAAATGAGGGTTTTTATCTAAATTATATGAATTCAAATATAAACTTTAGAAAAAATTGAGTTAAGATAGTACATGCACGTGTGTACACATGCATGCGCACACACACACAGGTTATTGTCATACTTGGCTAAGCCTGTCTCGTATGCTAGCTGCCAAATAAAGAACCTGCTAAAGGAGAATGCTTTTAACACATTCTCGAGTTTGCAAGTTGGTTTAGAGGTCAAATTCACAGATGCGCAATAAGTACAAGATTGAGTGAGTGCATGAATGAATGAATGAATGAATGAATGGCAAATCTCTGCTTCTCTTAGTTGCCACTTAGCGTTCTCTCATTTCAAAAATCATCGTAATCCTTTATGAATCAATTTTCACTCTCTGTAAGTACCAATGTGAGGCAGTAATAAATTACATATATAATACATATGTGTGTATACATGTTAATACATACATGCACATATACAAACATCATATTATTGGCATGACTTAGGACTATTCAACATGGTACCAGAATGGTTAGAACTCTTGAAAGGTATATCTTTTCCTGGAGTCACTAAATTACCATGTTGACTGATGAAGTAATTTATATCTTGCTTTAGTTTGAGATGTAGATGTTAATGAGAAATTTTGCAACTTTCCCCAACATTAATTTTTACCATAGTTCATAAGAAGTGTTTGAATTTATGTGTGTTTATAGTTATATAATTCTAAATAATATTTAATGTAATATACTTATTCAAGTCTATGTGAAACTTATTTCAGGTTGCCTCTTTTATATATCAGGTGTCTTCTATCACCAAGTAACTGAGGTCTATTAAATTCAGAGTTTAACAAACAGTGGTTTTAAAGTGCTGTCTTTCAGCGACCAGTTTCACTTTATTCATTACGTAAATACTTTATTCAATTAACTTTTGAATGAATCTTACATACCTGACATCTTGATGTTTGCTAGGAATGAAATGTTGGAATACCATGCCCTACAAAAGCTTATAGTCCAATGGGAGAAATAGACAAAGCAAGTAGGCTGTGCTGTGAGAGAAGAAAACACAGAGCACCATTACCCTCATAAGAGCAATACCAACAAGTACTAGCTAGGCAAAGAGAAGTATACACCATGGAAAAAGAGCAGCACGTGAAAAGCATAAAGAAAATAGAGATCAAAAGCTTTTCAGGCGAACTGTATATATTCTGTTTGACTGGCTCATAGGCAGGAAGCGATAAAGGGGAAGAAGCTGGAAAGAAGGGAGTTAAATGGTAAGGAGGATGAGGTGGAATGCTACAGCGCTCATCCTGGAGAGAATTGACCAAAAGCAGCTACTAAGGCAACATCAGAGAAGATCCAGAAATGATGTTTGGTTTGGTCCTGGAAACATATCACATGTGGCTTATGGGTGAAGGGATGGAATCCAGACTCTGACAGAAGCTGGTTAGTAGCATTTTTCATTGAGACTGGAAGTGGGAGAGTAGTGTTACTGTGTTTAAAACAAATTATAGATTTTTTAGAAGATATTTTCCCATAAAGTTTTATCTCTTCCAGATTAAGATAATTATTTGTTTCATTAAAGGTAGGAAAATTAGTACCTAGTTTCATTTGTTGATTAATGTTTTAAGACAAATTGAATTTTTGCTATGGAAATTATACATATGTAACAGAATCAGTAATACATTGTGCTAAAGCATTTTTTAAAATATCAATAACAAAACACTAAGAGTTGAGATGTTTTACAATGTCTGATTGTGTGTGATGGCGAACATGTGATGAATGGAAGCAGCCATTGTGGTTGTCAAGTTCACTTTATTCATGTCGCATCATGTCTGAGTGCCAAGCAGGACATTGAATTGCACAATTATAAATCTGCTTTGGGCACTAGACTGACTACAATTACTGGCCTATACAATGGAATTCTTTAGTTTGCCTAATGGCCTAATTGAATTGATCAATTGGTAATTCAATCTATTATTTGTTTAACTACAGTTAGATGACTCTGAGTCCTGTATAGACCTTAACTAAATATTTATCTAATTAGAGACCTTGGCTTTTAAAGAAATAAATTGGACTAAAATATACATGATTTTTGTCTATATTTTTATTAAAATAAATATTAGCAGAAACCATTCTAAAATCCATCTTATTTGAAAGGAAAATCCTGTCTTCAGTTTTAAAACAAATAGTTTTAGATTTTTCTTCATCACTAAGAACTTATTACTCAATGGCACATTAAACTTTTCAGTTTTGCTAAATATTACTTACATTTCAAAACTAATCTATTTTCTATGTTTTCTATAAAAATAGAATGTAGTTACATTATAGAAAATAGATTCCATTTCTATGGAATAATGATCTGTGTAACAAAGAGGACACTTTCTTCACTTTTAAAATGTATTAAGCCAGGTAGTTAATTCGCGTAGCCCTATGACTAACATAAGGCAGAGAAGGGCAAATTCAGGTACACAATTCTAGTTCTAAATGAACATAGACAAGGAACTAGTTGGGAAATTTGGAAGGTTTGCATAGATTATTACTTTTATAGGTCATAAGGGAAGAACTGTCTGTACAATGATTCCAGTAGATGATAAATGCAGAATGAGAAATTGAGCTCACTTTATTTATAAGATAAATATTCAGATTAAGTAACATGCCCTAAATTGTACAATTACCAGGTGGTGAAACCAAGATTTGTACTTAATCATTCTGTGTCAGACCCCATGATATTAACTACTTATTATAACAGTTCAAGTAGGGAATTTATGCCTAGGAATTTAGACTTGATTCAATTAACTTTGTTGATGATTGGGCATTGCTGAAGGTTTTTGAGCAATGAATACACTGACATAAACATACACCCAAAAAACGGAAGTGAACAGCACATTAGGTTAATGCATTACCTGATATTTTTGTCTCATATTTAACATTTTTTTTTTTGCTGCATTGTAGGAGTTTCTCATACTGTGTTTTCTTTTAAAAATCTAGTTTGAAGAAAACTTTCTCTTATACCAGGGTATAAACAGGGTGCACTTAGCCTTTCATAGATTTAAGATGGATAAAATGATTTCTTGTGCTCCTCTCATATATACTGGAAAAAAATGAAGTATATGATCTTATTGTATTTAAGCCAGATGAAGTCCATGTTTTCTAGATATATCAGATTTAATTCAGATGGCATGAAAAGGTCTGCATATGGACTCTCACAGTCTATTTCCATGGATTCTGCTAACATTGACTTAACATTGACCAGTTAATAAATATTAAAAGTTCCCAACTTGAACTGTTATAGTAAGTGGTTAATATCATGGGGTCTGACACAGAATGATTAAGTACAAATCTTGGTTTCACCACCTGGTAATTGTACAATTTAGGGCATGTTACTTAATCTGAATCTTTATTTATCTTATAAAATGTCGCAAGTAATACCACATATTTCATAGGGTGGTTGTGAGGCTTGAGTTTGACAAGACAAGCACAATGCCTGTAACTTCAAAGTCCTCAGTAGCTATTATAATTATCTTAGCATTTTAGAGTTTCCAGTTTTAAATAATTCTATTTTCATGTCAAGATAATTTCTCTGGTAATAAATTACCTGATTTTGGATTCTGGGTCTCATAAGTATTAATTTGTCTACTGGTAGTTCATTACACATGCTTTAAGCTATTTATCTGTAGTCCTAGCACATTTCTGCATTTTATTTTCACATCTAAGAGAAGTCAGAGTTTCCTGCATCTTCTTCCTCTCTAGTAACTTATTGCTACATGATTTTACCTTTCTTTACCTCTCCAGTAACATTATTTTCCTTTGCTGTATGATATGGTATAAGAGGAACTGGTTTAGAAATAGGAGTCAGGAGATAAATAAGCTTGATAGTGTTTGATCTTCATTACCCATGAACAATTCTAATCCTCTCAAACCCTTAGTTTCCTTATCTGTTAAGAGAAAAGGGTGGACGACATCAGCGTCTTCAAATCTTTTCACTATAAAGGATCTCATTTATTATTTCACTCCATACTCACCCTCAACTCTGCCTTTATAATCCTAGACTTCAACAATTCAGGTTAGCAAGACAAAATCTAATCCTTAAAAGCTGCAAGGCCATGCTATAACACAATAATTAATGGTCAAAAATCAATTTTATGAAATATGAGATTGTTCTATTTTTAGATTAATAAAAAATAGTTTTAAGTCAGTTTATGCTGTCACACAAATCACACCAAAAGAAGATAGGATACCTTTTATTGTGTACAACTAAGTTCCACGTCATTCTGTGCCCCTCTCCACACCAGATGATAACTTTAGCCTGCCCTCCTTGGTAACTAGGGCTAGGCAGAGCACAGGAGTAAATTGACAATCCTATTGTAGTGGAATTAGTTATAGTAGGTCAGGTCATTTAACCAATGTGCAATAACCAAGGTAACCAGTCTTTCACATGGAGCTGATGACATTCCATTCAGATGTAACAAAGCCTAATATGTTGATAAGCCTAACCTGACTTACTGTGGATACATAGACCATTTCTGTTTGATTCTGAATTAAAACGTAATTATTTATTTCCCAATGCTATTTGGACGGACATCAACAAGGCTCAGGATTCCAAGCTGAACCTTTAAAAACTTGGGGACTGATTACATTTTTCTAGTCATGTCTATCATTCTAAAATTAGTGATCTCCCCCTCAGCAAATCAACCAGTTTTTTTTTCTATTTTTATTGTTGACCTTGAGTGATGTTAGATATGGATTATATTATATTCTCTTAGCTACTATTCCCTGAAAAGTTACTATTTCCTGTAAGTTCAAAAGCAAAAACAATGTATTTGAGATTGTCCTCCACGTAAAGGAATGAATATGTCTTGGAAAGGAGAGAACCTGTTTTTTCCCAAGAGTCTCATGAGGCCAAAATATGGTCATTTCTGCATTTACTTATGAATGTGATATTTAACAGCCCTAGGTGGGTCATCTTAAGGGTCAGGCAATCATCCGTGACTCTCACATGAACAAGAAAACCTCCCTGAGGGTGTGTAGGATCCAGACTTATAACCCATGAAGCAAAAGTCACAAAAAAATAGTGAAAAGACCTGTAGAGCTTGCTTCCTTCTTTGGCCTCATTTGCCATCTATTTATTCCTGGAACATAAAAAAAGACAAATTTAGTCATAAATTATAGGCACACCTTTATTGATTCAACACTGACAAAATGGGAAATAGTCCAAATGCTTTGGTTCATTATCAAACAACAAGAGCCAAAATCACAAACCCATTGCTTTTCTGGAAAGTTTTTAATGCTGCTTTATGCATGTATCTATACATCATGAAGATTTTTGGATTCTCCAAACTAACTTTGACACATCATAATGGCAACATTTGTTTTCTGGGATTCTACTGTCAGCTGCAAAATTAAAAAAAAAATCTAAAAATAAAAAAAAATCACTTCCTTCAGACTTGCTACAAAATGAATCTGATAGACTTAAAATTTGCTGTGAGACACAAGGGGTAGAAGCCATACGCCAGTGATAAGAATAGATGATTTCCTTTCTTCCGCCAGACTCTAACTAGAAATAGCAATATGTATGTGTACATAGAGAAAGAAAGAGGAAATATGAACAGATGTAGGAATATTTACAGAGAGGGAATGTCATTTTTAGTACTGAATTGGTGTAAATGAGGAAGGAAAATAATAGAATCCTAGAGTGGTGAATAATAGCTCCGGAGAAATGGCTTCTTTCTCCCTCCATGTCCAAAAGCTCCTTGGCTTACAGCCAGATGGAAGTTTTCATTTTTTTATTAAATAAATTCTGGTTCCCGTGATCAGTTTGGATTAGGCTGGTTTTTCAATAAAGAATATTCTAAACACAGAGTTAGGAGTTTCATGGAATTTTTCACTCAGAGCACATAGTAGAGTACCTACTGGTGTTTGAAGGCTCACGGTACCTGCTGAATATTCTAAAACAGAACTAGATGCGGGATGGCTAAGCAGCCAGCAGGTGAACAGTAGGTTAGCTTGAAATTGAGGATGCAGACAGAGCAAACTAGCTCTCTGAAGTTAAATTAATTTGTAACTCTTATGCCTGGGAAGAAATCAAAGAAAATACCCCACAGTAGCCTGCAGTGCCCTTTCATTTCCATTTGGAAATGTGTTTGATATTCCATGGAGGCAGGAATTTAATAAAGAAAACCGAGGAGTACACAATGAGGAAAAAAGGCTTTTGCATTCAGAAAGCATAAAAATTAAAAGCAACTACTGGTTATTTTGAGGAAGACAGTTATTAAGTTGTGAAAACTGGTATTTTTTTCTTGCCAACGCAGATGTCAACAGTCCATAATTTAATTTCTCTGTGTCTCAGTTATTCTTTAGATTCAGTGCCGTAAATTTCATGTTGAGGTTCCTAAATAACTGTTTAGGGAAATGGCCCTGTTAAAGGAAAGCCGTAGTCATCACTGCATTAGCATAAATTCTTGTTTACTCAGGATACATTTGATCACATCCAGTGTCCTAAAATAATTGTAAGGAGTGTTTAGGGTCCCAGGTTGGATAATTTATATGACCAACCTAGTCATCTACCATGAGGGAAGATAAAATAGTGTGGCCCCAAAGACATTTGGGAAAATCTGTGAATATGGACAGTGAATATGCCCCTCAGTATGTCACACACACTCAATTAATTTGACCATTGTAATGTTTTAACCTTTTTTAAAACAATTCTTTAAAAAGGAAATATTCTCTTCCTTTAATACATCTTCCCTTCTTTAGGGCATGGGGCCTGATGATAGTTGACTTTTTGTTTCTGAATATATTAAGTGTAAATAAATGTGTCAGGTTATATGATCCATGATGCTATTTGACTTTTAACAAATTATTGCTGAAATATAGTAATTGAACATATTTAATTTTGCACTATCTTCTCAAAGGCAAAATAAGAGGGGCAAGAGAGGCAGAAAAGAGGAAGGAAGGAAAAGGGGACTGAAAGAGGGAAAAAGAAGAAATATATTTATCAATTTCTATTTGAGAGATACAAAACCATTTCTATGTTGAAGGAAAATGGGCTTCTTGAGTATTTCAGAAACATGATTAATTTTATGAGACTGTGTCTGCATTTGTTCTCAAAGTATGGTAGATACCTAGAACTTTGGAATTTCTTGAGATGCTTTCAGGGGATCTGCGAGGTCAAAGATTTATTTTAATAATAATATATATCTTTTGAGTTTTTTACCATGTTGGCTTAAGAATGTCCATGAAAAAGCAGTGAAAATTATTAATTTTATTGTCTCGATCCTTAAAGTACACATCTTTTTAGTATTCCACATGTGTCAACATAGGAAAATACATACGCAAAAATAAAAGTATAATGGGTTTTGCATGGTAAACACTTCTGAGGTCATTTGTGTTTCAAGCTGAATTAGCTACCTTTTTTTTTTTTTTCTTCATGAAACACCATTTTTACTTGAAAGGACAGTCAATAGAAAAACTTGCTGTTCACACTTGGATACTTGTTACACATTTCTCAAAAATGAACAAAGTGAGCCAGCTACTTCAAGGAAAATAATATTTACTTCCAAGAATGAAATTCAAGTTTTTAAGTTAGAAATTTGCAAAACATGTATCTGCCACTGGGAGCTTGACAGCTTCCCAACATTCAAGCACCTTTCTGATGGGATTGGTGGTGAGAGTAGCAAATGAGACTTTTTGCTAATCTATAAATGTTTCAACATTTGGAAGATGTGTCTAATACAATGTACCAATCCAAATAACCAGTGATTGATGTGACAGAATCATGCATGGGTAAAAGATCTATTCAAAATACCAGCTAGATCAGTAGATTTTTACATAACATAGCACAAAACGTTTATAAATATGGTGCTAGATTTCACATTACAACTAATTTTCAAAACCCTGCTTATTGAGTTTTGCTGAAGTGTTCAAGGATATCTCTACAATTATGTGAAAAGGCTATCAAAGTACACCTCCCTTTTCCAACTACATGTTTGTTTGAGATCAGATTGTTTCTATGTAATTCGACCAAAACAACATAACAGAACAATGTCAATGCAGAAAGTATTTTTAAATTAAACCAATAATTTTTAAGATTTATAAAAATGGAAAGAACTACCACTATACTCAATAATAATTTTGTTTTGGCCGACATAGGTGTTTTTTTAAAAATATTATTTTTGATGGGGTAAAAATAAATATTTAATAGACTGGGCACAGTGGCTCATGCCCATAATCCCAGCAACTTGGGAGGCTGAGACAGGCAGATTGCTTGAGCTCAAGAGTTTGAGACCAGCCTGGGCAGTCTGGTGAAACCCCGTCTCAAAAAAAAAAAAAAAGAAAACAAAAAAAAAAAAACAAGAAAAAAATAAAAAATATTGGCTGGACGTAGTGACATGTGCCTGTAGTCCCAGCTATTTGGGAGGCTGAGGTGGAAGATGGCTTGAGCCAGGGAGGTGGAGGTTGCAGTGAGCTGAGATCATGCCACTGCAACCCAGCCTGGGCAACAGAGCGAGACAGACTCTGTTTCAAAAAGAATCAATATTTAATGAACAAATATTTTAAAAATCTGTTTTGATTTTTAGTATGGAATGTATTTGTTGCTATATCCTGTATAATCAAAAGCTAAAGAGCTTCAAGGGGATATTCAATAATTTTCAAAAGCACAAAAGTTCCTGAGACCCAACAGTTTGGGATTCACTGTCTGCATCGTTATTCTTTGTTGTAATGATTGTAGACTGGTCATCCTCAACTCAGGTAACAGATTAAGCTAAAGTAGGTCAATATTTCTATTTAGAAAAAAGTGAAGAGGAAAGAGAGAAAGGAAAGGATAGCAAAGGCAACGTATTGCCATAGGGTGGTTCCACATTTTAAGGCACCCTGTGTAGCCTGAGATCAGTATCACTGTAATGACTGTTTTCTCTTTATTTCCATACCACCCTCTTGCTGTCTGGGAGGATTATCTGTACTGCCACCAGGATAACAAACAGACCAGTTCAAAGAATCAGGTTAACATTTTCTCCCCAATAGGGAAATGCTAAACTAGGCTTGAGTTCAAGTAAAGCATTACTGCTTTTAATCGATTTAGAAAAATAGTTACATAACTTTGTACATTTACGTTCATGAGCATCACATTAAAGAGGTATGCTTTTGTAGATTTTAATACCAAAATTTGACATTAGAAAAAAATCCATTTTTTTCTGCTGGCTTGAATAAAACTATTGTCAAATATGTTTTCTAGGACCCACGCTTATATTTTTCTCTCAGTTTTATTTTAAAATATGCCATAGATACATATAAGTACATGAAATATATGTATATCTTAGAGAATAAAATGGAAAATGACCATGTATGTGTCAACCAATTTATGAAATAGAACATTACAAATTTGCATTCTGATACCCTCTCCTGTAATTGAACTATGTTCATTAATTTACTGGAAAAGTCTTTATATTCTATTAGCTGAATAATTGCATTTGGATATGAATAGTGGTGCCCATATAACGAGAACACAAATGATTTTTAATCAGTAATTACTAATTTCATCATGGTTCCATTAAAATCAATTTAGTCAACAAGACTCACAACCTAGAATTTTAAGTTCACATCTCCCAGGGCCTTTTAATCTATTCTTACCGAGCTTAGAGGAAAAATTTTCCTTTGCTCTTAAATATGTGCCTCGAATGTTAGTCATTAACTTTTATAATTGTTTGCTCCTGGTACAATTTCTACACACTTTGCAATACTAGAGTTTAAGATAACTCTGTACTCTAAGAATACTACATGTTATTTTAAAACCTTTAGAAAATACGCAAGAATCCAAAGATGAAAAAACCACCCATAATTCCATCACACAACATTAACCTTGAAAATTGCATCTTTATCCTCCTCATTTAAAAATATAAATATACTTTCTTAATCCTCCTCTCTAAAACTCATATTGTAAATAAAGGAGAAAAATAAGGCAGATATCTAGTTTAATAATATTTCTGTAGAACATTTCAGCAGTGCAAAAACAAACTAAAAATCAAACTGAAATAACAAAGTTATTTGGTATTTTAAGTTTCTGAGATCTTGGTTTCATTTTTATGTATATATTTCAGTTATTTTTTGCAGCATAATAAACTAAAAAATTTAATGACTCAAAACAGTAATGATTTATGATTTCTTATGATTCTATAGTTTATATGAACAGTTTCTCTGCTGGTTACACTTGGCCTCACTTATGTGCATTTGGCTGAGAGAGAGGTTTCAAGATGGCCTCACTCACATGCCCGACAGCTAGTGCTGGCTGTTGACTGAGTGCCTCAGTTATTCTCCACGTGACTTTCTGTCTTCCATTTGGCTAGACTTACATGGTAGTGTCAGAGACAGCAATGGCAAAAGCTGTAAGGCCTTTTGAGACCGTGGCTGCAGAGCTCATGCAGCGTGACTTTCACCATAATCTACCAGTCAAAGCAAGATACAAGGCCAGGCCTTATTTACAACAAGAGTAAAAGGCATCCCTTTTGGATTAGAGAATATTAAAAAATTTTTTGATCATTAATCTAGCACAAAGTTGTAAAATGTATGAACTACTTACTATTAATGAAAAATTGTGTTCCTTTTGGGGGAACTTTCTTACTATTTGAACTTATCAAATGATATAAAGAAATACCAAACTTATTGGGGAAATAAGATCATGTTTTTCTGGCAAAAGCTGACATTTTCATATGAATGTATGTACAAATTCCAATGCCTATGAAGCTACGATGGTAACAAACATCACTGAAATGAGCCAAGTCAAGATTGGAGTAATCTGGACCATATATGCTCTATCTGAAAATGGAAAAGTCGATGGTTCTTTTTTTTTTTGGCTGAATAAGTCCAGTGATGCCTGGACCACTGATATTTTAAAACAAAGATTAAATATTGGTAAGTAATTTTGTTAAACAACATGAATCTAAAAGTTACATGGAAAGACAAGAGACCCAGAATAGAGAGCACAATACTGAATAAGAAGAACAAAGTCAAAGGATGGACACCACCTGACTTCAAGACTTACTATAAAGTTACAACAGTCAAGATAGTGTGGTATTGGCAAAATAATAGATCCATGGAACAGAGGAGAGCTCCCTAAAATAGACCCAGACAAATACAGTCAACTGATCTTTGAGCAAAATCAAGTCAGTGGAGAAAAAAATCGCCTTTTCAACAAGTGGTACTGGAACAATAGAATGTCCATATACAAAAAAAAAAAAAAAAAGAATCCAGACATACCTTTCACAAAGATTAACTCAAAATGGACCGTAAACCTAAATTCAAACACAAAATTATGAAACTTCTAGAGGATAATGTAGGAAAAAATATAGGTAAGCAAATTTGGCAATGCATTTCTAGGTATAACGTCTAAATAATCATGAAAGGAGAAGTTGATAAGTTGGACTTTATTAAAATTAAAAACTTATCTTCTACAAAAGATACTTTTAAAAGAGTAAAAAACAACCCACAGATTGAAAAAAAATTTGCAAAACACACTTGTGATCAAGGGCTTCAATCCGAAACACACAACAAATTATTAAAAGGAAAGAAATAAATTTAAAAATAGATAAAAGATCTGAACAGACACCTCACCAAGGAATATATAAAAATGGAGAGTAAACATAAGAATATGTTTAACATATGTCATTAGGCAATTGCAACTTAAAACATCTATTATATACCATTACACGTGTATTAGAATGGCTAAAATACAAAAAAAATAATGGCAATAGCAAATGCTGACAAGGATGTAGAACTTTTTTTGCTGGTGGCAATGAAAAATTGTACAGCCACTTCAGAGGACAGTTTGGCAGTTTCTCACAAAGCTAAACAGTTTTACCATACAATCTAGCTATTGCACTCCAATATATTTAATTGAGTTGAAAATTTATGTCCTGATAAAAATGTATGCTTGAATGTTTATAGCAGATTTGTTTATAATCACCAAAAACTGGAAGCCACCAAGGTATTCTTCAATAGACGAATGGATAAACTGGTACATCTAGACAATGGATTATTACCCAGCAATAAAAATAAGTAACCTATCAAGCCATGAAAATGCATGAAGGAATCTTAAATGTATATTGCTGTGAGAAAAAAGCCAGTCTGAAAAGGCTATGTACTTTATGATTCTAGTGATATGACATCCTGGAAAAGGTACAACTATAGAAATAGTAAAATGATCAGTGGTTGCCTGGAGTTTGGTAGGGATGGCAGGAGTGTAATGAATAGGTGAAGCTCAGGGATTTTTAGGATGCTGAGATTATTCCAAATGATATGGTAATACATATATATGACATGCATTTGTCAAACCCATAGGATTATGAAAAGTAAAGGGTGTAAATAATGTCAGCTATGGACTTCAGTTAATGATAATGTATCAATATTGGTTCATGAATTAAAACAACTATACCACATTAGTGTAAGATGTTTGTAATAGGAGAAACTGCATTGCAAGGGATGGGGACCTGATATATGAGGATACTCTGAACTATCTATCTGTTCAACTGTTTTGTAAATAAAAAATTTTAAATAAAATATTAAATAACCATTTTGTGTTGCATGATTTTGTTTTCTGATAAAATAGTTTGAGTGGAAAACCTCAGCTGGGCTTGGTGGCTCACGCCTGTAATCCCAGCACTTTGGGAGGCTTAGGTGGGCAGATCACCTGAGATGAGGAGTTCGAGACCAGCCTGGCCAACATGGTGAAACTCCATCTCTACTAAAAATACCAAAATGAGCCAGGTGTGGTGGTACATGACTGTAATCCCAGCTATTTGAGAGGCTGAGGCAGGAGAATCCGTTGAACCCAGGAGGTGGAGGTTGCAGTGAGCTGAGATGGCGCCACTGCACTCCAGCCTGGGTGACAGAGAGGCTCCATCTCAAAAATAAAAATAATAATAATAATAATAATATATATAAATGAAAGGAAAAAGTGTCCCTTCCATGGGTAAATTAGTAGCATCGTTGATAGGTCCTAGGTAATTTTTTTTTCTTTTTTAGCTAGAAGATTAAGTAGATCTTGATGTTTTTCACAGGGGATATTGTAGAACGGTATTGTATAGTGTAAGTTGTAGAAACATTTCTACCGAGGAGCAGATGGTAAAAGTAAAATATTCAAATGCATAGGCCTCTAATATCAAGGCAACTATTTGTAAATATATATTTTGGGAACTTTCGTGTTCAGGAAATTTATTATTAAGCAGTATTGTCTTTCAAACCATATTTGCGAGATTTGAAAAGTCACTTTGAAGAAAGGAAATGAAGCATACCATCAGCAATTTTCAAAAGTTCTGAGACATTTTTCTACAGTATTGATATAATAAAGATGAACACATTTGGAAAATGTTCTCAATATTTTCATTGTGAAGAGTATTTATTTTTGTTGCTGGAACAACCAGAAGCAAATGTGGGAAGACTGAGAAAGTGTGAAATTTTATTTCTCCACGCAAAGAATACTTTAGATAACAATTACTGTCTCAACTACTAGCTTGAGAACTGGTGTCCTTTTTATTACACTGTGATATACCTGTGTGGAGTTGGGTCAGGCTAATGAAGACTAAAGATAATGTCAAATATGTCCTATGTCCCCTCCCACTTTATATTCTCTTTGACCACCAGCAGCTCATGCTATGACCCGATTGGGTCTGTCCTCACTCAGCGATTCTCCTCACCCCGATCCTAGTTTAAAAGATTTCATTGCCTCATTTTCTTTGCATCCAGATTTTGCTTTGAGTCTGCAAAATGACAGATTATTGGCTAATCCCACTGAATGAATTTGGTTGAAGATGACTTCAATTAAGTCTTCCTCAGGAGATGTGGATTTTCATGGGTACTTGAAAACACAGCATCTTGTCTCAAATAAACTTTGAGTGACATAATTTTAGTCAACAGGTCTGGTCAGAGGATGTTGCCATGGGTAGAACACCCTCCTCCAAGGACTGGTTTTGGTGTGTCCCCAGGCATTATCAGTAGAGCTTATATAGGAAGGTAAATAGAAGCTCTTAACTGTCCGCAAGCCTACTTGAGCATTGCATTTGGGGCTTAGAACTTTGTGAATTTTTTGCTTATTCCACCTGATATAATCTTAGCAACTTTGGATGAAATGCATTTAAGGATTGAATCAAAAGACTTCCTAAGTCGCATAAAGACTGTTTCAGTTATCTGCTAGTAAAAGTGAATAGTGTTCCATATATAGAACTAGTAAATGCATCAGATGAAGTAGAAGGATGCAGAGACCTTCACTGACCCAGGGTTTCAGCTCTAGGGGCAAACTCACTCTTTGAAATGTTGTTAAAATTAAAAATAAAAAGCCAGACACAGACTAGTTATAAAATAAACCAACTTCAGTTATATAAATCTGACTTCCTTTTCTAAGAAAGCAGTTATTTTCTCAGCACCTGTGTATTCTACTCTTCAGTACCTGTACGCTATTTAATACAATTTGAATATGTCAAATTCTAATATATTTGTTTCTCTTATTTTCCAAGCCACAGAAGCAATAAACAATGTAGAAGAAAGTAGAATAGATATTGGTGGTAGGCAAACTGAACATATCAATAAGTTTTGGACAATAACATTTAGAAAAGCTATTGACATTTTTCTGTTCTCTAATGCTGATAAGTAAACAATTCCTGCTTACTTATGGGTAGCCTCAGATACATGAATAGCCTCAAGCTGATGCCCTATACCATGATGTCATCAACAGCTAAGAATATTTCAATATCATAATCCTATACACTTGGGATGAAAAAAACTATTTTAGGAGTTTACAAATTTCATTGGCATCTTTTCATTTTTCTTTCCATCTTTTGTTAGGAAAAAAATCAAAATATATCATTTATCTTTGCAATGTTTTTCATATATCATATGATACTGTGTTTTCCCCTCATAGATCCAGGACTGCATAGACAGCTGTATTTTCTGCAAAGACCATCCAATGTAGTAGCCATTGAAGGAAAAGATGCTGTCCTGGAATGTTGTGTTTCTGGCTATCCTCCACCAAGTTTTACCTGGTTACGAGGCGAGGAAGTCATCCAACTCAGGTATTTCACATTTAAGACTTTTTTGTAAAGTGTACTTTTGTATGGTATATGCTGCTATTTATATTTCTCTAATTTGATATAAGTACCTACAGTACTAGGGTTTTTCATAATAATTGAATATTTTTCCACATTTCTTGGCATGATACAGTTATATGAAAGATATTTAGCCACTGGGATGAGAAGATGAGGAAAAGATCAAAATCCATGGGATCAATTCTGAAAGGAAACTGAGGAAGTCAGGGCTGCCTTTGAGATGGTCCTGTCCAAAGAGTCTTCAGCAGAGAAATTTTGGTGGATTCCATTATAAGAAAGTGGTATATAGAGAGGTTTGATCCTTAATATTCTGTGTCACACACAAAAGATAACTATGTGAAGTGATATGATCATCAGTTCAACTGTGATAATCATTTCACAATGTATACATATACCAAAACATTACAGTCTACACTGTTATTATATGCAATTTTTGTCAACTGTACTTCAATAAAGCTAAGGGGAAAAATGAAACTAAATTTTTCTGAATTCAAATATGTAGCATGTCATTATAGAGTTTGAGCAATTTTTTTTAGCTTCAACTATATCGCTCATATTCCCAGCTATAACAAATATTTAAGGGAAGACAGAATAACTTGGCTGGCTTTGAATTGCTGGAATATTAATATTAAGATACAGTTAGAAAATAAACTCTCAATAGAATGGAATACTTAGTCTTTCTGATGAAATGGATCTTACTTAATTTCATTGATTTTTGAGGACTGGTATTCTCCTTTTTAACATATTTATTTTTATAGAGAAGGTAAGTCCATCAATCATAAATTAATCTTTAAATTTCATTTACCTTAAATATTTAGATAACAACAAGGCATGGCATATGATATTACAGTATTTTTGAGAACATTAGAACACACAAGAAATCCAGTTACCATTTCAGCACATCAAGGTGTGTTCTCTGCGTATAGCCAAGCACTCTTAGTGCAGTATCAAATATGGTTTTGTACAAAGGTTACTAAATTGGATTTCAGGACACAGGACATTGATTTTCACTTCAGAGTACCACTTCTCTAGACCTCGAGGTTCTCAAATCCAAAATGAGAGATTTGGACTAGATTATCTATCATTTTTTTTTTAGCACTAAAGTTACTTCCAAGTTTAATCTGCTTCATTTATTTGATCGCTACACACAATCTTCCAATGGGAGTAGTTTACCTTGAGTGAATTTTTGGATCAATAAGTGAGACTTTAATCAAGCCCTTATGATACACAGTTTCTTTCAAGTGTCTTAATTTGAGCTTTGGTGGAGGTCATTTAAAGCTCTGAGTATCTTGCTTAATATATACATATGTTAATTTACTCTGCACCTTCCCTATGTCTTGCAGGTCTAAAAAGTATTCTTTATTGGGTGGAAGCAACTTGCTTATCTCCAATGTGACAGATGATGACAGTGGAATGTATACCTGTGTTGTCACATATAAAAATGAGAATATTAGTGCCTCTGCAGAGCTCACAGTCTTGGGTAAGTTAGTGGCTGGAGATGAGTTTATATTGTACCTTTCAAAGTATATCACCGCGACATTTTAATGCTCATCACTGAATTGATTCCTATGTTTATTAGTGTGAAATTGCAAAGTCCCAATACTCCACACATGTCCTTGCTTTGCTCTGATTAATTGCATAGGGGTTATATGCAATGTTTGAATACTTATTAATTAAAATCCAGATATATTATGCTTTAGTCTAATTATTCCAGTGATACAGCTGAAAAGTACCAAAAATTATTAATGGCAGATGTGTTGAATAATAAATATGATATTACAAAATATCTGGGAAAATAAATGAAGGAAAATTGTACAAAATATTTATCCTTGAGGGGAAAAAGGCAGATGTTATTTGAGATGACAGGGTTTCTGACATTAAATTCAGTATGTTGGTAAGATTTTTTTATTAACATGGGAATACTGTGAGTGTTGAAAGTGAACCATTAAAATAAAGTATATGTAAGGAAAAGTTGCATAGCAAGAATATAATTTAAACAGATTTAAGGAGGATTGAGGGGTTCATTATATTCCAAAAGGCAGGGTTACCCATGTGTCATTGCAAACAAATAATTCTTCTACATGGCAGTTATTCAAACAAACACATATTTTTATCACTTACTCCAGATTTATTTTAACCAGTTTTATTTGAATTATGTAGTTTGGAGAAAGTGCCTTAACATTTGGATTTCAGTTGCTTTTTTTCTGTAACAACAACCAAACATTGAATCTTAGGAATTTTTCCTCTGGAATAAATCTTTTTGCCTTTTAAAGAATCTCAGAAAAATCATAGTCTATTTAAAAGTTATTAAGTAAAAATGAAAATATATCATATGCTGATTATATTTGCTAAGTTATACCATGATATTATTCCATCCATTTTGCTTTTTGTCTTCAAAGGTTATTCAGAAAACACTTTCATCTGTGGACATGGTAATAATGTATATCATGGGTTAGATAATGACGTTGCTTGTTCTTTGATCAAATCATAAACATTAAACCAGGAATGGGCAAAAGACTTAAACCCTGGATTTAGAGGTAGTATTATACTAACTAAAATATTAGCTGCCTTTAAAATGGCACAGTTTAATTGAGTCATATTTCATATTTTGGTGAAACAAAGAATAGAGAACTTTCACATTTGTAGTATCAAAATTCAGTAACACAAAATGGTTATGATGGAAATTGTATTGTGCTGTATATTACTGATTATAAGGCAGATTTGGTTATGGAATACGCTAGAATTTACACTGGTCATAGGTAAAGCATTACTTGCATGAGGTCAAATTTTATTTCAAATTAATGCACATTATTTTGACATGTAATGGTTCGTTGATATCTGAGATAAACATATGCAAATACTGATTTCTGGGGATAAACTAAATTAGTCTCTATATATATACACACACACATATACATATGTGTGTGTATATATACATATACATACACACACACACATATACGTGTGTGTGTATATATACATATACATATATACACACACATACATATGTGTGTATATATACGTATACATATATATGTATATATAAACGTATATGATATATACACTATATATGGATATATATACATATATATGGATATATATTTTGTAATTTACACAATTCACAAAGAAAAAATGCCAGTATGAGTATGCCAATACATATATATACACATATATACACACATATATGTGTATATACACGTATATACGTGTATATACACGTATATACGTGTATATACACGTATATACGTGTATATATGTGTATATATACGTATATATGTGTATATATGTGTATATATACGTATATATAGGTGTATATGTACATATACACATATATGCACATATATACTTATATGTACATATACACATATATGCACATATATACTTATATGTGTGTATATATGTATTGGCATACTCATACTGGCATTTTTTCTTTGTGAATTGTGTAAATTACAAAATAGATGCTGTTTGATACATATAAAACTATCCAAAGATGCACAAGAAAATATTTAATAATTATTTCCACTACAGGCAGTGCATTTCTATACCTCTGAAGTGAATACTTTTGGTATCTTGGCATGTTTTATTCCATAAACTTCTCATATTTCATTGATGCACATATGCCCACATAAAGTTTGGTAGTGGTATGACACTTGGATGCTTCTTTGATTTTTCCTTAGGCCAGATGATTAGTCTCTATTACAATACCTCTAGTGAACCTTGACTAGTGTTATTATGTAAAAAATATTGAAAATAAGCATCCAAAAAATGCTCCACATTACTAATCATTAGAGAAATGTAAATGAAAACCACAATGAGAACCACCATCTCACACCAGTCAGAATGTCTATTACTAAAAGGTCAAAAAATAACAGATATTGCCGGGGTTGTGGAGAAAAGAGAAAGAGAATGTTTATACACTGCTTGTGGGAATGTGACTTAGTTCAGCCATTGTGGAAAGCAGTGTGGTGATTCCTCAAATAACTTAAAGTAGAATTACTATTTGACCCAACAATCCTGTTATTAGGTATATACTCAACGGAATGTAAATCATTCTACCATAAAGATACATACATGCGTATGTTCATTGCAGAACTATTCACAATAGTAAAGGTATGGAATCAACCTAAATGCCAATCAGTGGTAGACTGAATAAAGAAAATATGGTAAATATACACCATGGAATACTATGCAGCCAGATAAATAACAAGATCATGGCCTTTGCTGCAACATGGATGGAGCCATTATCTTAAGTAAACTAATACAGGAGCAGATCAAATATGGCATTTTCCTATTTATAAGTGGAAGCTAAACATTGAGTACACATGGACACAAAGATGCAAAGTGTGTCCTTAGGTACTTGATGTTTAGTTTCCAATGTGGGACACTGGGGCCTACTGAGAGTGGAGGGTGGGAGAAGGAAGAGAACCAAAAAACTATCGAGCACTATGCTTATTACCTGGATGACAAAATAATCTGTACACCAAGCCCCAGTGAGATGCAACTTATCTATATAACAAACCTGTACTTGTACCCCTGAATCTAAAATAAAAGTTTAAAAAATTGACAACATAAATTAACGTAATATAATACAGTTAATATGCATTAGTAATTTAATCTATGTGTACACATGTATGTAAAACATGTACATATGCACACATGTGCGTGCATATTTATATGTGTATATATGTACATATATGTGGATAGATATACACATAGATATATTAGAAACAGCATTTACTGAGTTCAAACCATGTGAGACATTTATTTGTTACAGTATCCTCTGTGGGAAGTACGTAGGTCGAGCCCATTAGATAACAACCCTCTTGCCTTCTGTGCTTCTGTACCAAGTGAGAAACAAGAACAGCAGTAAGGCATAGGGTAAGTCAAACATCACCTTAATTTGTTGAAGAAGCTGCCGTTGACCATGGTTTGCATCTGCATGGGAGGCACATGCCCATCTGGACATGGGCAGTGTCTATATTGGCAGGATGTCACTCAGGTGTCAGCTTGTCCCACTGCTTGGTGGCTGGTGGCAATGGAGAGCACTTGCTCTCTTTGGTCAGGCCTGTTCCCAAGAGAGAATTGTAGGTGAAAGGAGTCTCTTCAAACTTCCAGGCTCATTAAGTTATCTGTCATGTATCCTGATCCAGGCTCCCCTCAAACCAAGAAAAAGTGGGTACTGGGGAGTGGTGAGGTCAGAAGTCATTCCCTCGAGGAGCTGCCTCTCTAGGGAAGAAAATATCAGTATTGAGGCAGAAGTATTCAACATCCACACCCCAACCTTAGGTGCTACTTTTAATCCCGTTTTACAAACGAAGGCATTTTAGCACAGAAAGATAAGTGGCTATCCCAAGGGGGGATCCAGATCCAAATCCAGGCATCCGACCAAAGAGTCTTAGGCATATGCTTTACTGTCTGCCCTGTCTGCTCCACACATTCCTATTCATCGTTTTTTATTATTTATTTTTAATCTTACTGAAACAGCTATAAAAAAAAGCAGGTTTATGTGATGTAAATAAGAACAATTTTAAATTTTAGTTTGGTTAATAATTAGTCACTTACATAAAATAAAATACGTGACCGTAATGTAATGATCTTGACAAAGCAGAAAGGCTGACAGGGGAGCAGGGAAGAAAGGAATACAAGCTGTTCTTTGAAAATGAGGTTAAAACAACTGCCATACTTCGAATCTGTAGACACAGAGGCAGGTGAAAAGTGTACTCAATATCGGGTATTGCTTATTTTTTTTACTGTAACTTCTTGTTTATTCAAAGTGGTGTGCCGTTTGTATAATCAGAAAAATAAATGTGGAGGTATAAAAGTTGACATGTTTATGGTTTAAAAATGAGATAAATAAAAATGTTAAAACTCAGAAAATATTGAGATTATGCTAACATACACATAATCCAAAGACCTGGACTTTGCAAACACACACACACACACACACACACACACACACACACACACACACACTCACGTTTGTTTTCTCCATATAAGTGAAATGTATGCTATATTGTATCCTCATTTTCACTTCAGGATAAATCATGGCATCTTTCTTTGTGTGTGCCTGTGCACATGTCTATCTTCTCCAGTTCTAATTTTTTTTTCTTTTTGAGACAGGGTCTTGCTCTGTTGTGGCCTTGAGTTCGTGGTGTCAGATGATCCTCCATTCTCAGCCTCCCAAGTATCTTGGACCAAATTTGGCTATTTATTTTTTCTTTCTTTTCTTTTTCTTTTCTTTTTTTCTTCTTTTTTGTAGAGACAGGGTCTGGTTATATTGCCCAGGCTGATCTCAAACTCCTGGGCTGAAGTGATCCTGCCACCTTGGCCTCCCAAGGTTCTGGGATTACAGGCATGAGCCATCGCACCCAACCTTCAGCTTTATATTGTGGAACATTATCATGTTTCTTAGTTTTAATTAAGCGAGGTGTGGTGGCTTGCACCTGTAGTCCCAGCTACTCAGGAATCTGAAGGAAAGGATCTTTTGAGCCTAGGAGCTCTAGTCCATCCTGGGGAACATAGCAAGATCCTGTATCTACAAAAACAAAAACAACCCACTAAGTTAATTATCCTTAAGTATCTTTGTCATTTATTTGCTCATATCTGAAGGAAAAGTATCCCAGAAATACTTAAACCCTCACTGGCAGAGCAAAACTTTGCCTCCCTTCAGAGTGCATTTTCCCCCACAATTTTGAATATCTAAACATTTTATAAAATGGAGTCTCCTTGTAAGTATTTATATTCCTATTAAATTAAGATTTCATTTTATAGTTTTCTTGGACATTTGCATTTTACATTTTGTGAATTTGCTGTCTTTTTTGACCTTCATACATTTATTGAAACATTTATCCTTATTTTATTGATTACAGAAACTCTTTATGTAAGAATAATATTGACTATGTTGTGTATGCCTTTGCATTTTTACATTTTGCATATGGCACCAAATCTTTTTCTTCATGGTTGCTAGCATTGTCATTAGACTTACATTTTTATTCTATGAACCATGCTATCTCTAAAAATCTGGTTATGGATTACATGTTGAATGTTTAAATTAGAAGCATGATTAATTTCTAAAAAATAGTGATATGTTTATATTTTGAGTTTTCATGGTCTTGGTTCTTTTTGTCTGTTTTTAAGGGATTTTTTTTGGTAATTGGACATATTTTAAAGGTCTCTCATGGACTTTATATCATTTATAACTACTCTAGAAGGCATAATTTACTTCAGGATTTGGTTGATATGCTGTTTTAATTATTCTAAAAGGCTCCAAAAATGAATATTTGTATAATGTTTGAAATAATCTTTGACTACTCTGATATAAAGTTAGGATTATCCTGCAGGACTGAGTTTATATGAAAAATTGAATTTATTGCCTTCTTAAAATGGATGATAAGAAAAGAACTTTATTATCAATGTTATTTAAATTTACTTTTCATAATTTTTAAGAATTTAATCATATTTGTATTCTTCATAAGATAAAATCCCACAAGAAATCCAAGCTTCTGCTTATAAAACTTTAATCACGCATTTTATTAGACTCTTGTTTTGCCTTTCAACTTGCAGTCCTTTCTTGTACTTAACTGTCTGTGAATGTGAACCTTCATGAACTAACAGACTTTTCAAGTAGAATATCATTTTATAGACTAGAAGAAAAGACATTTTGTTGCCCTCCTCAGTAATTTTACAGAGTGAATATACATTAAATATAATTTGAAGCTTAGCATTTTGTTTCCTTCTTATAAAATAAAAATGGAAAATTCCATAATCATTAAGCTTTTTGGAGATATCTTTATTAGACAAGATTAATGACAACCTTATTTACAATAAATAAAATATAAATAAGTTCATAGGTATTTTCTTTATCATAGCCATTTATGGTAGCATTTCTGACTTACAGTAATCATCGATAAAGTATTGGTGGACACCTTTTGGGTACAAGGATTGCACTAGGTTCTGGGAAGACTACAGAAACATCTGAAACCTGGCTTCAGTGGGCTTCGTATAATTACAATTCGTAAAATCAGTTGGCCTAATACTGTCTGAATAAACTTTTATTTAAAAAAAGAAAAAACGAAAATGTTATATGTAAACAGGGACTCTGGGAAGATATGAAGAGTTGGTAGTCTCCACTCTCATAGAAAACAAAGCCCGAAGAGGCAGGGGTGGGAGGAGTCCTAAAGAAGAAAATGTGGAAGGAGGCTCTTGGAATATTGTTGTCAACTTTTTAATTTAATTTTAGCCATGACTACTTGTATTATTTATTTTAAAACCTAACTTTTATAAAAGAAGTCAAAAGTGGTATTTTTCCATTCTTATGTTCAATACGTCCAGCTTTCTGGCTCAAGGATTTTAATCTGACTATAATTGTGAACATATCCTTTTCTGTATCTGCCCATCCCCAACTTTTACCCAGCTCCACACAGGAAGAAAGACAGTCCTCCATAAATGTTCTAGAGATTTGCCACTGCTTTGGGTCTAGATTGATCCCATGTCTGAATCAGTGCAGAAATGCATAATTTAAAAAGTGATTTGATCTTTTACAAAGTGCCAGGCTTTGGACAAACCTTGTGTACTGTCCTTACACACACAGGTGGAGATGAGTGGGAACTTTACTGAGGATGGTCTCTTCAGTAGGAGCCATTAAGTTGAACATCAGTGAGAAAATAAAAATATCTTTGAACTTTCCAGAAATGGTTCTAGAATTCCCTTTAAAGCAGTTGTGTAGCAACACAAAAAACTTGTAATTGCCCTCTAGGAATGTGTTAAGTAGAGTTCTCTCTATAGAGCTGAGCATGTCCACCTTACACAGATGTGTTCAATAAGCCTGAAGATGATAGACTCAGAATATTTATATATAGATATAGATATACATACACACGTATATTTTTGTATATGTGCATACATATACATAAACATAGTATATACATATATATGCAATACATGCACTTACTCTCTATTTCTAAAGTTTCCCTTTAAACTTATTATTTTCTTTCAAATGCATATGATTATCTCAACCATTAAATGAGGTTCTGATTCTGCAAATAGATAATAGACTAAGCTATTCAGAAAGGTCTAGAAAAATCATCTTAAAAGTGATTTAAGAAGAGGCCAAATAAAGATATATGGGTGAAGTTAAATACCCCTGTTAAACATTATTGTTTTGTAAGATAGCTGGAAAAGTTCACCTTAATAGCTCATTGCTCAAAATGCTTTGGAAATTTTGAAACATATGGCTGGATATACGGTGAGCTAATGAATATAGTTTCTAGTCCTAGATATGCAGCTGAACCACAGTGTGAGTAGAAAACTAGCAACCAACTGTTGAGTGCCTCTTGTGTACTAAGCATTCCGCCAAGTAGTCTTTGGGCATAAGAAGATATGACACAGATCCAAGCCTCAAGGATAGGTAGGGAAAAAGACAAGAAGCAGGCAATTGCTAACAAGGCCGAAGAGCTGTTGAGAAAGAGGAAGACAAGGGACCCTGAATAAAGAATGCAACAAAGATGAGAGAATGGGGGAGGGAGTGGTGAGGGGAGAGTATGAGAATGGGGGAGGGAGTGTTGAGGGGAGAGTATCTGACAGGAGGTAGTAAATGTGCAAAGGTCTGGAAATAAGCGGGATGGGGAACGGGAAGTGAATTATGTGACTAAAGATTGTGGGTACAAAGGAATCTGATGCTGGATGGGAGAATCCATATAGGTCTTGAGTATTTTGCTCATGTGGTTAGATTTATCTTAAGGGCAGTGGAAACATATGGAAAGATTTCTGATTGTGGCTTGTGAGCTATTTAATTTTAGCCAGCTATGTAAACCTCTAATCTTCAATTCCTTCATTATTTTCTTCATATTTGTAGAGCTTTAGGAGCTACAAGTGCAGTTTTGTTACCTGGATATTTCCCATCATGGTGAAGTCTGGGCTTTTAGTATAACATCACCTGGATAGTGTACATCGCACCTATTAAGTAATTTCTTATTCGTTTGTAAAACAATGATAATTACTTTATCATAGGATTTGGTGTCCGTTTGAGTGTGAAAAGTAGAGGAGAGAGATTCCAGAATAATCAGGCACAGCTTTGGGTGTTCTGGGAAATAAAGTAATATAAGATCCCCTCCTAGCCTTCATGAGAAGCCTAAAGCCAGTTGGAAAGATTAAGCTAGCTAAACAAACCAAGACATCCCAAATGTCACAAATATTAAAATATTCTATGTACTTTTTCATATCCAATTATCATTATCTATAAAATGTACATAACAGCAACTAGTCCCTACGTAGTTCTCATGAATTATGGCGCGATTGATATAACAATATCTAGTGATCAATATAACAGTATCTAGTGATCAATATAACAATATCTAGTGATCAATATAACAATATCTAGTGATACATTGAAATTTCTTTGGCAGTAATCTCTAGAAACATAGACATCCCTCTGTGGGAAAAAGATGATGTCCATTTGTGATGTGTTTTATGTATTTCACTTTTTTCTGTGCTTCTACACCTTGCTGTTCATGCTTTCTTCACAGCTAGATAGGGAGAAACTTAAAAACAGAAGCCATGTCTTCTACATTTTGATCACTCAAACCCTTAGATTTTTATCTATGTTATCTGAGTTTTAAGCATAAGAAATGCAATTGAATGTGCATAAAATATAAATTATCTAACTTCCTATCGAAATGTTTTGTAAGCTTTCCATTGAGATTCATGATTTTTTCATTGACCACTGCAATGGACAGAATTATGTCCTTTCGAAATTCATATGTTGAAATCCTAACCCCCAATGTGACTGTATTTGGAGAAAGGCCTTTCTTTAAATGAGTAACTAAAATTAAATGATGTCATAATGAGGGGATGCCTATCCAATAGGAATAATGCCCTTTTAAGAAGAAGAGTTACTGGAGCACTCTCTCCACCCTTGCACAGAGAGAAAAGGCCATGTGAGAACAGAGAAGGTGTTGTCTGGAAGCCAGGGAGAGGACCCTTACTAGAAGCCAACTTTGCTGGTACCTTGATCTTGAACTTCCTAATCTCCAGAGCTATAAGAAAGTACATTTGTGTGTCTAAGCCACCCAGTCTGTTGTATTTTGTTATGGCAGTCTAAGAAGACTAACACAACTACAGAAAAGGTAGATGCTGTATGCGTTACAGAACAATCACTAAAAATAGAACAACTGCTAAAAAGATTCTTTGGTCTTTTTTATCAAAAGTGAGCAACAATGAAGACTTATATTATCAACATTGCTTACATATTGGTAGCACAAATAATCTTAGATTTCTAGGAGTGTAAAAAATTCCCATTTACAATAGCAGTGGATCAAAAATAATTGCTCATTTACATAATAGGTCTTGTGTAGTTCTTAGATCCTTATAAATTTGATGTCCTTTCATCTTATTTTTGTTCGCTATCATCCCTTTATTTAATAATTACTAAGTGTAAGGTATGATATATATTTTAGGTCTTATATTTATAAATGACCTATATCAATTTAATAGTAAATATATCATTAACTGTGATGAAATTGTATTCTTTTTTAAATCAATTCTCAGATATGCTCTATGAATTCAATTTACTACAAACAAGCATGTATATCTTCACACACCATCAATTCAGATTTGTTTGGAAATGGAAGAAAACATATACTTCAAAATTGATATGGCTTTTTTCCTTTTATTTTTTGCATAGGCTTTAATTTTATTTTTTACGGAACAATATGTGATATTAGCTGCTATTTTTTGAGCATGTATTATTGGCCAAATTTTACCTATCCATTTGCTTGAGGTTAGTGGTTCATCTACCTCAGACTTGGGTGTTCAGTCTCTTCCTACTTCAGCTTGCTGGTAGATCAACCATGTTGAGTTTTAGGTTTAGGCTCTTTGCCATAAATGGGAAGTAGTTATAATAAAATATGTTAAGATAATATTTATCTTTTTATTGCAATGTGTAATTCTTATTTTGAATGGAGTTCTTTTGAATTTACAACATCATTGCCTCTGCCTACGTAGCAGTCCTTAAATTTTACATATATCTGTAATTGCCCTTATTAACAGGACTCCTCAGTCATATACATTTAATGATAATAGTCATAAAAGAAGTGCCTTAGGTACGTTTGTATTGATTATCCTCTACAATGTAATTACCAAATGAATCATACTGAAATGAGTTAAGAGAGTTTTTGTATGTAGGGTTTTGATCCTAAATGTAGGATACAGGTGTGTAATATAAGGCAGAATTAAATCAAGAAAACTATTAAATCCCACCTATTAGGTGCTTCTTCCCATTGCTATGCAGATTACTTATCTTAGTTATTTTCCTCAGCTGAAACTCTGGTTGTCAAAAGGTATGCAAAATTAAGTGCAAAATATGTTTAAAAGATTCTGTTGAATATTTATATGAATTAGAAGAAGAGACAATGTAAGTTCAGACTGTTTGTTGGTAGCAAAATGATTCGTTATTTCAGTTGGGAGTTAGAACTGGTAATGGAAATACAAGTTGGATTGGTGGTAGGATAGGTTTATTTATTACACAAATATTTATTTGAGAGTCTACTGTGTGCTGGGCCCTCCCTTTCCTTTCTCCCTTCCACTGGAGAAAATAATGTGAGCATTGCTTTGCATATATTATTGAGATGATGATGAGTCTAATTTTTTCTTTCTTGGACAAATGAAGTAGAGGCCCCCGAGGGAAAAGCAAAGTCTATGTACTAATACAGACCATTAAAAAGGCAATCTAAGAATATAATTTTAATTATCCCTAACAATCTAAGCAAGGTGAATTGACAATCTGTGGCTCACAAGGAGGAGAACTGCTGACAGTGGTGGAAAGCTGCCCAAGAGGGCATTTTATGCTAAAGTTGCCCTGAAGAAACGGAAGTAGACATCATCCCAGAAGGAGTTTGACTCTGTGATAAGACTCAAACCACATTAGACAGAAATGTTTTAAACAAAGTCAGCAAGAGTTAGGATCAGTTATGGTTGCCAATTTTCAAAGACTAGGGAGCAATATATGCCATTTCTTCATACACTTTTAAATAAATGTTTTTCTGATTTTTTATTCAATATATCTTGGTGCAATCATTTCAGTAACTTTATGTAGTAAGGTATGGACTCATTTTTATTTTAAGTATAGTGTATTTGAGCAGGGAATCACCAAAGGAGTAGAATTGCTGGATTACCAAACAATGCTTGGTAATTTGAGGAACTACCAGATGGTGTTTTAAACCAGTGACACAATTTCACATTCCACCCGTGGTATATGAGTGTTTATATTTCTCTGAGGTTACAGTGAGTCATTATGTATATATGTGCAGGCAGGTAGAATGCAAAGAGGGAGATTTTTCTTATTTTTAAAACAATAAAATAATATATGACATTCTTGACTCAGAAGAAGATAGCAGTGAATGAGTTTTTCTTCTTCCTATTAGGTTGGTGCAAAAGTAATTGTGGTTTTTGCCCTTAAAAGCAATGGCAAAAACACAATTATTTTTGTACCAACCTACTACCTCCTCATTCCCTTCCATGTAAATGGAGGAACAATTCAGTTCCCATTTTCCACTGTAAGCCTTTTTGTTTAATGGACAATTTATGCTTATCAGTTATCTCCCCTAAAATCAAGAGCATTTGTATGATTGTGACTTTATTTGGTGAGACAAGGTCTCTCTGTTTCCCAGGCTGAGGTGCAGTGGCGTGATCTCTGCTCACTGCTATCTCCGCCTCAGTCTCTCAAGTATCTGGGGCTACAGGTGCACACCACCACACCTGGCTAATTTAAAAAAAATTTTTTTGTAGAGTTGAGGTCTCACTATATTGCCGAGGCTGGTTTTGAACCCCTGGAGTCAGTAATCCTCAGCCAGGACAAAGTGCTGGGATTACAGGCATGAGTTACCACACCCAGCCAATGTGACTTTTGTCTTAAATTCTATCCATACCTCTTCCTTCTGCCACTTGTGACTTTTTTTACTCCTCCAACCTACTCCAGTGTACACTTGAGGGTGTTATTGGGTAAGCGGCCATGACATATCATTCGGACTCTAAACTTTGTACAGTGAGCGAGTGACACCTAACCTGCAGAGTTGTTACCAAGATTAGACCCGGTGAAATAGTCCATGTTCAAGGCAACTCCAGCTCAGTGCCTAGATACACAAATACTTTATAAGTGGCATCATAATCATTGTTTTTTAATACATTGTTATGACACGCATTCTCCGTGATTACTCAAACTCAGAATAGCAAGTCTCATTCAGATCATGTGTCATAAGTTTGATGCTTGGCTGAGGTCAGTGACTCTTCATATCTGCTAATATTTTAGAAAAACTCAAGGTGGAGGAAAAAATCTGTGATAAAGATTCATACCATAGGTATTGTAATTCTAAAGACAGACATTAGAACTTAATTAAGCAAGACAGTGAGATTTATCACAGCATATGTGATCATGAACCAAACTGTGGAAGTGGGAGTAGAGCAATAGTAGTGAGAGAAGATGAGTGATGTCTGGTAGTGGCAATAAGCTGTACATCCTAGTTGTTTGGGTTTGAACCAGGGTCTGGAACATGTGAAGCATTCTAGAAATATACACTATTATTATTTAAGAAAAATAATTTGAGCTAAAAATACTACAGACTTTCTTGAGGGGAGCTCAAGAATCATAGTATCATTATTTATACCTTGCCAAATACTAAGAAAAATATCAACATTGTAAGTTATTAAGAAAATAACCCAGAAAATAAGCATTCACAATTAAGTTAGCTTTGGATAAGAAGGAATATTAATCACTCACATATATAATACATATGAAAACTGTCAAAATAAGTAAATAGGATTTGGTTTAATGAATATGGCCTCAGTGTTGCAATATATTAAACCTAGTCATCAGCCTTAAGCCCTCTTTTTCTTATACCTTACATTAAATCCATAACAGTTCAATCTCCAAAATATATTTCAAATCTGTCCACTTGTCTTCATTCTGACTTCCCCCACCTTATCTCTTCCCCCATCCAACTGCTCTTATTCATAACCTGGACCAGTCCTAAAACCTCCTAACTTGTCTCTCTTCCATTCTTGCCTTTCTATAACCCATTTTCATCCAGTATGATCTTGTGAAGAGGTTAATCATGGGATGCACCTTCGTAGAAACTCTCAAGGGACTTCCACTTTTTTCTTAGACTAAACTACAATCTCTCTATCACATCCTACAAACCACTGTGGGATTTGGTTTGTCTTCACCTTTCTAACTTCATCACATTCTACCATTATTCACTAGGATCTATCAATATAGCTCCTGCTTTCCCCTTATATGCACTAAACAATTCCCAGTCTCAGGATATTTGGGAAGCTCCCCATATGTCTAGAATTCTCTTCTCTCAGCTCTTCTTGTGGCTGACTCTTCGACTGGATCATAGCCCAAATGCTACCTTTTTATGGGGGTTGTCCTTGTCCATTCTGATTAAGACCATCTCTCATAGTTACTGTTATGCAGTTATTTATTTTCCTTTGTATAACTTATCACAGTCTGTTATTATCTACTTGTTTATTAACTGTTGTTTTTTTGTCTCCCCAGTGAAATATAAACCCCACTGGAGTGAAGTCCTTATTTTATGTACTGTTTTACTTACTATGTCCCCAAAAACATATAAATAAATAAACTCTGAATGATTTGTTACCATCATCATCCACATTGATGTTTTCATAACAGACATTTATTGGGCACCCATTATGTGCCAGGCACTTTGCACAATGCCTTGATTTCTCTTTTCATAGTCTCAATATATTATGGAGATACTATTTTTAATATTTATTTTTCTCTCCACTTTAAAGATGAAGAAATTGAGGCTCCTCATTATCATCATTTTCATCATCATCATCATCATGCCAGAAAGTAGAACTTGAATTGACATTGTTTTCCTTTCTCATACCATGGTCAGAGGAAAGAATAGGGGGCCCTTGGGTGCAGAAAAGAATACCAGGATAACCCAAATGAGCTGGTCAAACAAGTAGATTATCAGGGATTCTTCTGTCAAACAAAAAATAGAACATTGTGCAATTTGGTGTAATCTTTGTATAATGTGTATTTCTCAATGTGTGGTCTTCAGACCAGCAGCATTGACATCATCCATGAGCCTCTTAGAAATGAAAATTCACTGGCCTCACCTCAGCCTGCTGAAACAGAACCTGTAGGGTTGGGTCCCAGGAAACTGTGCCTTAGTAAGTCTTCCAAGTGATTCTTAAACACTGCTTTGAGAAAAGGAAGACCATCTGGTGGTAAGTAAAGGAAATGGAATGTTAACAAGAGTAAGGCAAGACATTTATATTCAGAAACCAAACCAACGAACAAAAGTAGGTTTAGTAGGCCTTGTATAAAATGATGGATCTCTTATTAAAATTGGAGTATAAGGGAGGGGCATCATGATAAGGAAGAACAGTCGAGGCAGAGACCAGAGTAAGAAGTCAGAGTAGGGGTAGATAGCCTTCAGGCAGACTAGATCTTCTTGTCTCGACCACTTTCACTCAAATTCTTAAAATATCCCTTGTGTACATAAGATTAGTGACAGAACATGAAATTGGACTAAGCCCAAAGTAGAACAAAAGTAGCTCCACCATGATTCTATTTACGCTGATTGGTAGAATGTGCTCCCCTGGAGGATGGGCCATTATGACTGCACTGAGACAGATCTTTAAGTTTGCAGATGACTCTGAAGCTGTTCTAGCTGGGGAGACAAGAATATTTGGTAAAGCTGTGTGAATGGGGAAAATAATAGCAGATAAATTTCAGCTGTGGAAAGTGTAATTTAATATATCTAGGGAAATATAATACAAACTATGCTGATATGATGATGTACTCTTTCTGCTATCACTTATTTCTAGAAGAAAAGATATCTTAATTGATGTCAGCTATCCCTTGAAGACAGTCCAATGGAGTGTGGCAGTTCAAAAGGTCAATCAAATGCCAGAGATCACCAGGATAAAACTGGAGGAAAGCAGAATTACAAGATGTTGTTTATGTTTGAACAGAGTAGTATTTTAGTACTTGGAGTAGAGTTCAAAGTTCTACTGAGTACATTCTGGTAAGGTCATAAGGCAGTTGGAAAGGCCTCAAAGGTTAACTGAAATGATCAAAGGAATGAAATATTATAGTAAGACCAGATGAGAAATTTTCAGCACAGAAAAATGATGGGTGAAAAGGGACACAATCAAATTCCTGACCATGAAGGATATTAGTAACTGAAACATGGACTTGTTCAACAAATTCAAGAATACTGTAGGAGAACTCTCCTGAAGCTTGAAGGTACTTTTAGGACAAAGAAAAAAAGTTTAAGTCTTTTTAATATAGCCTATAGTAAATTTACTGATGCTGTTCCCTTCTAGAGGGTTCATGAACTGGAAAGATAATCAGGAACAAAAAAATATATATTTATGGAAGATGAGATTCCAAATGGTTTATAAAAGGGAAGCTGTAGATTATTATGGATATTTTAGTGTTTAATAAAGGTAGTACTCAGGGCAATATGAAAAATTATGCATCTTTATAAAAAATGAAGTCCAGGAATTGATGACTAATACCGTATTATAGTTTTTAAATATTCTTTAACATACATATATACATGTTTGTGTGTGTGTGTGTGTATATATATATATACACACTTGTATGCATATATGTAAAAATGCGCTCATATACACACACTATATATGCATATACATGTATACATTTATATTTGCTTTCCTTTTAAAAGGAAATATTTTGTCATTAAAGAAACATGTAAGCATTATAGGTAAATTTGAAAATACAGAAAAGTAGACAAAAATTACATGTAGCTTCATTCACCAAAGAGACTACTATTAATATTTCACTGTACTACTTACATGTAGTTTATATATTTCATATTTTCTGATGTTTATTTTTTTATTTTATTTTTTTCTTTTGAGATGGAGTCTTGCTCTGTCACCCAGGCTGGAGTGCAGTGGTGTCATCTTGGCTCACTGCAATCTCTGCCTGCCAGGTTCAAGCAATTCTCCTGCCTCAGCCTCCCAAGTAGCTTGGATTACAGGCACCTGCCACCATGCCCGGCTAATTTTTGTATTTTTAGTAGAGACAAGGTTTCACCATGTTAGCCAGGGTGGTCTAGAACTTCTTACCTCAGGTGGTGTGCCCACCTTGGCTTCCCAAAGTGCTGGGATTACAAGTGTGAGCCACTGCGCCTGGCCCATTTTCTGATTTTTAAAAGTAATTACTGCCTGCAGGATTTTGCCACTAATTATGTAGACTGTTGGTTTGAGATAGGTATTTTTTAATCAAAATAATATGAAAATACTAATATAATGTAAAATTCAGTTTATCCATGTTTAGGGTTTTTATATATTAAAATTAATTTAGTCTATACATCTTTTGTTTTCTGTCTTAATCTGGTTTAATATTCAAGTTTGTTCAACTCATGAAGTAACCACTTTTCTAATACATTATTTCTTTAAATATCCCATTTTATTTCCAATGCCTTTTGTTTTATATTTTAATACTATTTAGTATGGAAAGACTGTTTTAGGTGTGTCTTTTAATAGCATGTGGGTGCCTCCTATGTTTGTTCATATCTAACTATTTTCATGCTGCTGATAAAGACATAATCGGGGCTGGAAAGAAAAAGAGGTTTAATTGGACTTACAGTTCCACATGGCTGGGAAGGCTCAGAATCATGGTGGGGCAAAAGGCACTTCTTACATGGCAGTGGCAAAAGAGAAAGAGAGATGCAAAAGCACAAACCCCTGATAAAACCATCAGATCTTGTAAGACTTATTCACTACCGTGAAAACAGCATGGGGGAACCTCCTCCATGATTCAAATTATCTCCCGCCAGGTCCCTCCCACAACATGTAGGAATTATGGAAGTACAATTCAACATGAGATTTGGGTGGGGACACAGAGCCAAACCATATCACTTACCAATTTGAAATATTTTGCCTTTTCCAAGGAGGGTTTGGCTTGTTCATATTTGTTGTCACATACAAAATAATTATCATGAGATATTTGAAGCAAACAGGGTCTGGCTTTGAATATTGATACTGTTTATTAGCTATATTACAAAGTTGTATGAAGATTTTAATTTAATGGTAGATATAAAATACTTAATAAAATGCCTGCCACAGAGTATGCATTCAAATTATTGTGATTATTTCCTCTTTGTTATTTATACCTCTTTTGTTTTAATACCATTTTGATGTTTGTTTGTATCTTTTACTATATAGTTTTTGTTTTAATTTTAGTGCAACTCAGAAGATAGAAGCACTATTATAAATTTTACAAGCAATTAACTTTAGACTGATAGAAATAGGTATTTAAATGTATGAAAGGCTGATAGAGAATTTAGAATGCCATTATTTCTGCTGCCTCTTTCTCCTTTGGATTTCATTAATAATAGTACTTTCATGCCAGGTACATTTTCTTTATGTAGAATTGTTTTTGAAATTTTCCTTTGATTTTTCATCCTATCTGCTGTAATTACTGTGCATATTTAATCATGTCCATATAAGCATGTTAATTGTTCAGTGACAGAAGTAGAAGGTGACATGGCAAGAGAATGACTGATGTTTAGTGAACTATTTGAAGAGTACATCTGAGAGTTCAAGGGTACAAACAGTAAAAATGTTTTGTAATCTCTATATCGCTGTGTTTTTTTAATTGATGCATGAAAGCACTTTCTGCATCATTTACACAAGGACCATATGTATTTACAGTTAAAATTTAAATATTTTAAGACAAGAATGAATGTTTCACATTTATTTTTATTTTCTGGCATTCATAAAAACTGTAGAGGATATTCTGAGTTTATGTTGTAAATTGTAATTTTCCAAAGGACTGGCAATTTATGGTTTTTTTTTTTGTTTGTTTTGTTTTGTTTGAGATGGAGTCTCACTCTGTCACCCAGACTGAAGTGCAGTGGTGTGATCTTGGCTCACTGTAGCTTCCGCCTCCTGGGTTCAAGTGATTCTCCTGCCTCAGCCTCCTGAGCAGCTGGGGCCGCAGGTGCCTGCCACGACAACCGGCTAACGACTTTTTTTCTGTATTTTTATTAGAGGCAGAGTTTTGCCATGTTGGCCAAATTGGTCTCGAACTCCTAACCTCAAGTGATCTGCCTTCCTCAGCCTCTCAAAGTGCTAGGATTACAGGCATCAGCCACCACCTCTGGCTTGACAACTAGTGGTTAATGAAAATATCAAAGTTTGACAACTAACTTGGGTTTTAAATAGTAAAATAAAAAATCATTCTAATAACATTTCTCAGTCTCACTTTACACAAGGAATAAGAAAAGTGATGGAAGAAGAGACGCTTCCCTGGTAATGTGATGCTTAAAATCCATGTTTGCCTATTACGATGAGAACAATATTTTGGCAATCTGAGAAGATAACTTAGGATGTTAGATCTGAGGGATTGTCTATACTTTGTAGGAAATGATACTTCGAATTCCAGAGTTCAGCTAAGGCTGAAAGTTAAAGGCAGGATCACTCAGGACCTGGAACTGCAGCACCGTTTCTGCATCCAAAACTAGCTGTGCAATTGCTGCAAATAAAATCTGAGCCTAAAGGCACAATATTTGTCCGAAGAAGCCAGAGAAGTCCCAGTTTTTCTTTAAGAGTTTTACAAGCAAAAGCATATAGAAAGCCCTGATAAGTGACAGGAGAAGGAGTGGGAGGTAAAAAATGTATTAAAAAGCAAAAGAAGTCTATAGCACTGGAGCTTTAAGAGTAGTCTCCAGACCAGAAACAGGATCACATGGGAAATAGGTTAGAAATGCAAAATTTTGGATATCTTCCCCCTTCTACCCCAGAGCTACTGAAAATAAACTATACAGGAAGAGAATCAGCAATCTGTTTCATCTGGGTGATTCTGATACAGGAGAACCACTGGACTGTAGACTTGATCAAGGGTCATTTAGTGTGTGGATCAACAACTTCATCTCCCACTGAAGGCTCTGTTTTATTACATCATAAGTTGGTATTTATGATAAGAAAAGAGTATCCAAAGTTTTAGTTGTCTATTTATTTTAGTCTGTTTATGAAGGCAGATAAATCATATATCTCAAATAGCTTCTCATCATCTTTCTTGGGGGCATTTGAAGTGGTAACCTTGAGCTGTGAAATCCACTTGTGTTCTAAAATACTCAATTTCTGCACAATATGGGATAAATATCATGTTACCATATTGTGACATGCCATTTATAAATGAAGACCAGTCACACATTCCTGCTAGATTTGACAATTATTCTCCAAAGTAACCTCTAAAAATAATTTGACAATTATGCCCCCAACCTCTGTTGCTGGTGCTATTGTTTCCTTTAAAAATATGAACTTAGGTTTTAACAAGAAAAAATACCTTTCTAAGATTTATATGAACAATGCTTAAGATAGATGATCTTTATAGAAAGGTAAATGTGTTATGTTTCTTCTAAACACATTTTTCTACACTACACAAATTTAATAGTGAAAATATATGAACACAGTCTGCTTTCTGAAAGAATATTATAAATTATTCCTAGACTTAAATTTGCATAGTCGTTAGAGGAAATAAATATGCTATCTGGCATATTAGAGAGGATATCTAAAATTACAGATAACTAGAAGTTCATTTCTAGGGCATTAGACATTTTCATTATTTCTATTATTGCTTTATTATTGTTGCTCTTAAGACATGAAATGAATTTTTAGAAATGCCCCTAAATGCCTTTAATCAAATTACAAAAAAGAGCACCAATTCTTCTGAGTTGATGCTGGCACTGCCAGTGTGCACTGGCTTAGAGAGCTGAGCTGAAGGCTGGATGTCAGCTCCACTTGTCCCTGGGCAGAGACCTCTGTGCAGTGCACAAGCTGACACAGCCTCCCCCAAGCTGTCCACTGCTTGTCAACCATGGGTCACAAACTGACAACCTAACGTCCAAATGTAGCCTACAGGCTTTGTTTGTTTTGGCCTAGTAAGTAGAAATAGCTTCAATTCGTGGCCAGTAGTTTTGAATTAGAAAATTTTGCAGAATCATCTGAATTCCTCTGGAAAACTAGAAGACATGGCAACCTGGAACTTCCATTCCTGACTAGTAACAATTGGCCGGGGCTAAGGGGCAACTTCCCTGCTAGAGGAACATGTGCTCTTCAGGTCACAGTTCCCCTGCCTTCCTTTGTATTCATCTGGCCTCTGTGAACATCTAGGTTTACAATTTGGTATGACTCAATATAGTCATCACCTCTTCCATTTTTCTCTCCAGGTAGGTTTAACAACTTTTAAACTCTGTGTCCACTGAATCAAGTACAGATTTACATAGCAGCATCTGTAACAACTAATTGTACCTCTTTGTTTACAGCCTTTTCCCTACAAGACAGTAAACTTCTGATGACCAGAGATCAGCCTATTAATCCATCTCTGTAATTCCAGTGCTTATTAGATTGAGTTGCATGATAAACATTTGTTGATAAGTGAAATGAACTGTTTTTTAGAAAAATGTATGGTGGAGGTAGAGAAGCATACTTCCTATTTCCCTTCTGTACTACGTAGGTATTGCCGCAATAATACTGTCTAACACACTACCTAAAACTTAGCAACTTAAAATGACATTTTTTTTTTCTCAAGATGATGGGTCTTTGGGTTGGTGGCAGTTCATCTGGGCTATGGGATTTAGATCGTAGATTGGGTTCAAGTCTGCCCTGTGTGCTTCTTCTGGGTCATAGGCAGAAGGGACTACAGCTACCTGAGGCATTTTCTTTCCATGGTGATAGCAGAAATTCAAGGGAGAAAGCTCCACAATGCAAACACATTTCAGCTCTTCTTACATTCCATCTGCAAACATCCACCTTGGCCAAGCCCAAAGTCCAGGGGTGGAAAGTAACTTCCACCCACCTTGAAAACTTGGCAAGAATGTTAATGCAGACATATGAAGAATTGTGATCAATAATTTAATCCAGGGCCAAAATTAGGGTAAGGCAGGTGAGGTGCAAAATTTAAGAGGTGCCAAAAATCTCGTAATAAAGATACATATTTTAATACTTAATTTTTGAAAAGCAAAATCAACGCAAACATCCATAATAAACAAAATATACAAATATTAAACACAGAATCTGACCACCCATCTGCATGGCTCACCTACTCACCTCACCTGCTTCATTGCCCTGTTGGGTCTTATCTCAATATCGATCCCATCTAAAACACTCCTCTGAGTGGCAGTTAACAAACTGCTCTTGCTTGTATCTTGAGTCTCTGCATTGGTGTGAATATTTGTATCAAAACATTAAGAATTCAAGTTTCTGGGAGTTTTATTAATATATAATTAAGCTATCCCTAGAAAAACAGGGTTTAGGGCAAGTAGTTTTTAACACAAAACATCTTTAATTTGTAAAAACTAAATTATGTAAAAATAACATTCCACTAGAAGCCTTTTAGAAAAGTTTGCATTTTTTCTTATACAATGCAAACTGTCTATATATTTGTACTAGTCAACTCCTTATATTGTCCAAATCCTGAATTTCATCATCTAAGCAAGACCAGTTTGGCATCAGATTTAAGCAAGATATCCATGACTACGAAATTCCCTATAGTTGGACTTGAGGGGTAGTAGGAGAGCTGATATAGCAAGAACTTTCCAGTCCACTTGAGGATGTTTCTATAAACTTTTTCAATGTAACTGACCTCATTACACTCTGCGAAGGTGTAACTACACGTATCCCACTGCCTCTTGGGTCAGTCAGGCAAATGAAAAGCAATCATATCACTCTTTAAATGTTTTAGCATTTTCCAGCTTGGACTTTGGGAAGTGGGATCCAGTCTGCTCATGGGATATGTGTTGACTACCTCTTATGGAAGGGGCCGTTCCATGCCATGCATGCTGCCAGACAGTTGTGCTACTCCTGGCTGCCTGGGTTCCTTGAAGTCCATTCCCAGTGCAGGACAACCTCACGGCAACATTGACATTGCACGTTCAAGAATCTTAAATGATTCTTACTGAATTTCAAACCTTGAGGAGAGGACACTGTGGTGGTATCAGTAAGGATAGCTGGGACATATTTAAGAAGGACTGAGATGAAGTAAGACCTGAAAGACAAGCGTCCACAATTTCTACCTCTAAAAGGTAGAAAGGCATCTAACCATTTAAAAAATACATTATCATGAACAAAACACAGAAAGATGTATATCTCTGTTGGCGTTCTAGCTAAATAAAATAATAGCAGTATGAAAAATTTTTAAAGGGAGATAGTAACTGGAAAAATCTAAAAGAATGTTGTTACTGATTCAGGATATATATTTTCAGTGTGCTGTTCCATGTGATATCATGGGTATTTTATTTTTGTGTACAATAGCTTCATAGGGACTCTGCAGAAGTTATTCCTGAGTCCTATCTTTTACCAATATCATTATGTTTAATGAAATCATAAGTTTCTTATCCATAATTCTATCACAGTGTTGATGTGTGTGTGTGTGTGTGTGTGTCTTATTTCCCAAAATTGGAAAATATAATGAGACAAGAGCTTCTATCATTATGAATGATATTGAACAATGATATTGAATAATGATCAATATCTTTCAAAGCTATCATTTATTGAACATTAGCTATATACCGGATACTGTGCAATATATTTCATGTGAATTTATGCTTCTCTTCATTACAACCCAGTATACATCTGTCTCCCTATTTTACAAATTAGAAGACTTAGATTGAGAAAGGGTTAAATGGCATGCCTACATCACTGATAGATGTCCAAGTTAGGATTCATGTTCACCTTCTTTCTTCTCCTCCAAAACTGAATCCCTATGGGGCACCCCTGCTTTGCCATTCAGCCTTGAGACTATGTTTCAGCTGCTGTGTAGTTTCCCTTCTCATCACACTAATAAACACTACATTCATGAAGGGTTGTTTTACAGCAGACTTTATTCTTAACATTTACATATATCATTTCCTTTAATCCTCATATGTCATATGTTGTTGTTGTTCACCATTCTACCTGTAAGAAAACTAAGTCTCTGAGAGCTTAAGTGTGTTGCTTGGTCACACAGCTAGGGAATGGCCAAATCAAGGTTCAAACCCAGATCAGTGCAACTCTAGATGTCATGCTTGTAACCCTTATGCAAAGCTGTCTCCAGTCATGCCATGCTTCCTCTGTGATACAGCAGGAAACTCACTGAATTAATAGTCACAGATATCAGGTTTTTATCCCAGATGTGGCTATTGCCAAGTCCTGTTTCTTTATCTGTTAAACTGTGATTAATAGTCCCTGCCCTGCACAAGTCATATCATTGCTGTGAGACTTCAACCAGAAACAAGGACAGGGAAGCTTGAACTGCAAGCTCTTGTTAAAGTACTGTCAGCAACTTGAGAGGCTGAGACTGCTGTAACAATTTGCTTTGTATCTCACATAAGCCTAGAAGAGTTCTTGACTCTGAAGCTTATCAGGACCCAGCCGGAAAGCAAATACACATAAACTGCTGGTAAAAGAAAAGTGAAGGGCATTTCTTGGAAATGGGAAAAGGCTCTTCCTCCTTCCCCTCCTGCCCCTACTTAGGGGCAGAACCATCCCAAAATGTAATCAAGAAGAACAGTTTGAATACTCAAGGTTTTATCCTTCCTCATTAATATGTTTTCCATTATTTGTACTTCCATTATTTGTTCAGTTCTATTTTCCCCTAATTTGTTGCTTCTTGGAGTCAGCAGTGAGTAGGAAATGCCAATGGCTGATGATTCCTCAAATAGCCCTGAAGATTTAATCCTAAGTTCTGATGACCCAAGTATGTGTGGTAAAGAGATGACTGCTTTCCTCTTGCCTTCAAAGTGGTTTTCAGCAGTGCTGGTCTCAGCTCTCTTGAACCTGCAGGACAGACAGTGGCAACACTCTTGTCAAGGAGCCAGAGTCTCAGATTATAACATCTTGGTGATAATATATTTTGCCTGTTGCCAAAGCATTTCATTTAAAGGTTTGGGCACATGTAAATATATTTCTGGCTTTCCTTTTCTAAGTTCCCTCCTCTAACCTCTTTAGTCTCAATTTGAGTTTATTTCCATCATAGAAAAAAGAATGTAGAAGGCTAAAGCCCCATTAGTAATACAGTAGTCAGGGACATCTCACCTATTTGACAATTATTTATTGAGGACCTATGTACACAGGCACTCTGCTAGGTACCAGGGGCATGGTTGGCACTGGAGACATGGTTGGCTGTTTTCTGCCATTTAGAAGCTTAAACTTTCCATTTCTATATTGTTTGAAGGCTGTGATTATCTTCCTGATAATCTACGTGCTCTTTTTATACTTCTCTCCATCAAATTTTTGTATCTGTCTCCTGATTCATCAAGTTATCCCCCAGAATAGGGGCTTTTAGGGAAATTCCACAGAAACCTGAATTTCCTACTCTCTCTTAATTGAAAACAAACTCTAATTTCTGGACTTACTCTCTCTGTGTCTATACAAACCTGTCCATGGCCATTTTCCCATCCTGGGTGTGTCATGCAGCCAGGCTGACTCATCTTTCCTTGTAATAAATCAACTCTTTAAAAACCATCACCACATTATAACACATCTGAGCATCAGCACTCTGACAATAGAATATAATTTGATAGCAGAAGGCTCTAAACAAATTCCTTTGGACAAGAGAGATATAGATTATATAACTCACACCCAAAGATATTTAAGTCAAATCAATGTGGCCAGGCCATTTAACTCACCAAGAGAGAAGGGTTACAGTCGGTTACTTAAAAGCCTCCCTATCTTTTACCTTATGGATATGGGCATATCAAGACTGAATATAGGCTGGGCGTGGTGGCTCACGCCTGTAATTCCAGCACTTTGGGAGGCCGAGGGGGGTGGATCACGAGGTCAGGAGATCGAGACCATCCTGGCTAACACGGTGAAACCCCGTCTCTACTAAAAATAGAAAAAAATTAGCTGGGCGTGGTGGCGGGCGCCTGTAGTCCCAGCTACTCGGGAGGCTGTGGCAAGAGAATGGCGTGAACCCGGGAGGCGGAGCTTGCAGTGAGCCGAGATCAGATCGCGCCACTGCACTCTAGCCTGGGCGACAGAGTGAGACTCCGTCTCAAAAAAAAAAAAAAAAAAAAAAAAAAAAAAAAAAAAAAAAAAGTCTGAATATATCTCTTTAGCTATGACCACCTTGAAATGGATAATCAGCATTTTCTCCTAAAATTCCAGATTTTTATTCCAAAGCATCTCCTGGCTTGTTGCTCGGTCCTGCATTGCCAGCAAGCTAGAAGCCACTGTTCGGTAATGTTTCAGTTGAGAATGCACGGACCTTGAGGGTTAGTTTGCCCTCAATCACAGTGGGCAGGAGTGGCACTGACATGAGAATCTCTATTTTCAGAGTTCTAGTCCAGAATTTCTGTTACACTAACCTGCCTCCATAGGGCATATGTACTTTACAAATCTTTTTTTTTAACTTTAAAATCTGGAATGCATGTGCAGAATGTGCAGGTTTGTTACACAGGTATACATGTGCCACGGTGGTTTGCTGCACCTATCAACCCATCATCTAGGTTTTAAGCCCTGCATGCATTAGATATTTGTCCTAATGCTCTCCTTCCCCTTGCCTCCCACCCCCCGACAGGTCCCGGTGTGTGATATTCTCCTCCCTGTGTCCCTGTGTTCTCATTGCTCAACTCTCACTTATGAGTGAGAACATGCGGTGTTTGGTTTTCTGTTCCTGTGTTAGTTTGCTGAGAATGATGGCTTCCAGCTTCATCCATGTCCCTGCAAAGGGCATGAACTCATTCTTTTTTATGGCTGCATACAAGTCTTTTCAAAATAAATTTATATTTGGAAAGCAGTATGTAGACTCCTATGGGAAAAGTATCATTTCAACTTGATGATAGCTAAGTATTCTGAACATGTTAATTAATGTTTTATTCTCCAGATATGTAGTTAGATCTCCAATAGCATTAGGGTCAACATTGTGTCATTTTGCATAAATTGCAAACACATTACAATTTGTGTTATTATTACTAATAGTTGGATAGGCACCCATGCTTATTTCCATGATAAGGAGAATATAGGCAAGTGTAGAAATTTGCAGTGAATTGTTCAAGGATGCCCAACTAGTATGTATGATATGGGGCAGTATTTTCAATGAAGATGTGCACATTTGCTGGGTCTATAGATGTAGATAAAATTATTGTGAGGAAGTTTATATGATTTTGTATTAGGGCTAATCTAGCTTTGAAAAAGATCAATCTATATATTATGATCACTTCTTCTCTAACCTGACACACTGTTCATAAAATGTGATCTTTCATATTCCAAATGAAATGCATTTTTTTCCCTTTCTCTATGCCTTAAATTGTCCGTGTCCTTATTTTCCTTATTTTAATGTTTTCTTTTTCTGAATATTTTCTCAAGTATTTTCAACTTGAAAAGGAGTATATGAACACTAAAAATAACTTCAAACAGTTCAGCAGTATCTAAAATGAAATGTAAACATCCCCTCTATTAATGTCTTCCTCTCATATGCACATCACATCTTTAAGTGTTTCTCAGATATTTAACAATCTACACTTGGAATCTGCTTGATCAAGAAAAAATGTGTGGAGGGAGAAGACCCCAACTATTTTCTTATCTACTTATATTCCAGGACTGTTGTGATGATTACATAAAATAGGGTATATAAAAGTGATGAGGAAGTTAGAAAGGCCATACCAATTTAAGTTACTGCATTCATTGTATGAAAAGCTTTCTACTCAGCTCAAGTACCCCCTTTTGTCTGTATAGCTTTGGCTTTTGTAGTGCTTAGTGTCATTTCCATAAACAGAGCTAATTTACTTCTTTATATGTTGACAATCATTTAAATGATTTCTCACTTATTTAAATCCTATAATAGGCTGGGCATGGTTGTTCGTGCCTATAATCCCAGTGCTTTGGGAGATCGAAGTGGGAAGATTGCTTGAGGCCAGGAGTTCAAGACTATCCTCGGCAACATAGTGAGATCCTGTCTTACAAATATTTAAAAATTAGCTGAGCACAGTCACACATGCCTGTAGTCCCAGCTACTCAAGAGGCTGAGGTGGGAGAATTGATTGATCCCAGGAAGTCAAGGCTGCAGTTAGCTATGATTGCACTACTGCACTCCAGCCTGGGCACCACAGTAAGACTCTCCTGTCTCAAAAAAAAAAAAAAAAAAAAAAAAAAAACTCATAACATTGCCTTTAATACCTCTCTAATATTCCTTACATCATTCTACGGTATTTTTATCTGTTGTGAAGTCAAATATGTCTCTGGCTCAATCCCCAAGCAGTAACCAACATCCCTTTTCAAAGAAGATATGCTTATCAAATATTTACGTTTTAAATGAATTAATAAACAGGTGAGTTACAGAAATATTTCAAAGTCATTGTGAACTTTCATTCTCAGTGCTTAGATAACAAGTCTTACCAAGACATACAGAAGTGTCCATACATCCTCACCCCTTCTCTATGGTTGCCCCACCGCTGTTAGAGCAGTCCCAAACATGAGACAACAATGCACAGCCTCGACTGATGTCTTCTCCAGGGCTTTCCGCCTCTGTGACCCAGTCCAAATTCTCCCACAGGATATATTGGGTGATTCCTGCTGAGTTCAACCTGTATCTGCCTGATCCATTTGCTAGTGGAGTCCTTTGGACCTTCCAGAACAGTGGCCTGTCCCTACCCACTGAGTCATTCTAATGTAGCACTAAGGCAAGAACATGCAGCTTATCTATTTGTATCAGTGACTTTCAAAGCTGCCTGAACAAATGGTTCTGGCTGGATTTATTTCAAAGCATTGACTACGGCAGGCAGAAAGCTTCCTGCCAGGCGGTTATATTTACCACACAAATTTGTCAGCTTAACCAAACATTTCAGTGTGTTAGGAGCAGGAATTTGAATTGATTGATCTAAAGGGCTCAAACACTATGAAAGAGATGAAGGTGCATCAGCTGACATTACAGTGTCTGCACGAGTCCAAAATGATCACTAAATAAATGTTACTTTTCAGAAAGATTGTGCTGTTATCTTATCTCCCTCCCATACTGGGTTTGCAAAAGCAATCGGAGTTTCATGAGTGTTGGAATGTTTAGGCTAAAACACCATGGTGATGTTAGCAACAATTTTGAGGTGCCCTGATATGTTTAAATTATATAGCAAAAATACTATTATAAACTCTGAGCAAAATTGTGGGACACAGGGATCTTTGAATTCTTACTACAGCTTTCACATCACCTCCATTTATATGTACCTGTGTTCAACTTCCCTTTCATTAAAATAGGAATTATTCATTTTCATCGTATTGCTGGCATACTCTCTTCATAATCCAACCTTAGGCTTGCAATAAAAATCTTCACAACCCAAATACCATGAGAATACTTGTGGTTAAGCCTAGAAAATATTAACTGATCACTCAAGAATATATATAACAATTTTCAGTATACTAGAAAAATATCACTAGTTTTTTTTTCAGTATTTTTTGGAGATGAAATAATCATACTGTTTGTAATTGTCTTAACTATTACCAGCTTTATGTAATTTGTCATTTTACTATATTCTACATATGTACTCTAATTTAGTCTGACTTATTTTATTCTGCCAATAGTCATTTGGGGAAAAATTACAGTAGTAAGACAGAATTTTCTGAACATTTAAGATCACATTCAAGCAAGAAACAACATATTTTGCAAATGGGTCTTAGGAATACCCTCAGAGAAGCGTAGGGAAATATTTGAGAAAGGTCTTATGGTTCTGCAAGGATCTTGGAATCTACAAGGCAGATTAATAGCCCAATTATTTCCACAAAGCTATTGCCAAATTTCTTACAACTGATTATTTAAGAAGCAATTTTTAAAAGCCACATTATTTATATTAATTGAATAACAATATAAATGGAGCAAATGGAGTTGATTCGTTCCTCAGTCTCTTGTAAGTCTATTGTGGTAAATTCATTATAGAGAGGAGTTGTATAAATATTCTAATTTCAATTTCTCTAAGTCATAACTGAATACCAGCTTAAGTTATGTCTGTATGCTTTAAATATTTTTTAAGGTGGTAAACTTTACGAACAGGTTTAGGTTCACAGCACAGTTGAGCAGAAAGTACGGAGTTCTCATAACATTCCCTATTTTCATACATGCACATCCTTCCTCACTATGACCATCCCACGCCTCAATGATGCATTCGTGATAATCAATAAACCTATATTGAGACATGATTATCACCCAAGGTCCATAATTTACACTAGGTTTCACCCTTGGTGTTGTACATTTGTGTTATATGGGTTTTGGCAAAGATATAATGACAAGTATCCATTATAGCATCATGCATGATAGTTTCATTGTCTAAAGAATCCTTTGTGCTCTCCCTATTCATCCCTTCCTGCATGCTGTGCCCTGGCAACCACTCATCTTTTTACTGTCTCCGTAATTTTACCTTTTTCAGAGTACCATGTAGTTCACATCATACAGTATGTAGCCTTTTAAAATTGGCTTCTTTCACTTAGTAATATGCATTTAAGTTGCTGTATGAGTTTAGTAGACCTTTTTTTTTTGGCACCAAATAATATTCCACTGTCAAGATTTACCAGTTGATTTATTCATTTACCTATCGAGGGGCATCTTGGTTGTTTCCAAATTTTGGCAATTGTGAATAGAGTTTCTATAAACAACTATGTGTAGATTTTTGTGGGCATACATTGTCAGTTAAGTTGGGTAAATATCAAAGAGCATAATTGCTGGATCATATGTGAAGAGTATGTTTGGTTTTGTAAAAATCTGCCAAACTGTCCTTCAAAGTGGTTGCACCATTTTGCATTCCCACCAATAATGAATAAGAGTTCCTCTTGCTCCACAACCTGGCCAGCATTTGATATTGTCAGTGTTTGGGATTTTGGCTATTCCAATAGGTTTGTAATGGTACCACATTTTTTGTTTTTATTTTTAATTCTCAAATAACATAACATATGATACTGAATGCATGTTATTAATGTATACTTGCTTGCCATCTGTATATTTATCTTCTGTGATGAGGTGACTGTTTATGTCTGTTGCCCATTTTAAAAATCAGGTTGCTTGTTATTGTTGAGTTTTTAAAAGCTTTTTGCATATTTGGGCTATCATTTTTTTTTTTTAAATCAGTTGCATGTCTTACAAAGGTTTTCTCCCAGTCAGTGACTTGTCTTATTCTCTAATCTTGTCTTTCACAGAACAGAGGTTTTTAATTTTAACGAAGTCCAACTTATCAATGATCTCTTTCATGGATTTTGCCTTTAGTGTTGTATCTAAAAAATCAAAAAAACCTAAGTCATTTAGGTTTTCTCCTGTGTTATCTTCCAGGAGTTTTATAGTTTAGCATTTTAAATTTAGATCTATGATCTATTTTGAGTTAATTCTTGGGAAGAGTATAAGGTCTGTGTCTAGATTTTTTTTTACATGTAGATATCCAGTTGTTTCAGTATCGTTTGTTGAAAAGACTGTCTTTGCTCCATTTTATTGCCTTTGCTAATTTGTCAATGATCAATTGACTACATTTATTAACTATATTTGAAAATAGCTTTCTATTTCTGAGCTCTCTGTCCTGTTCCATTGATCTATTTATTTATTCTTTTACCAATACCATACTGTCTTGATTACTATAACCTTATTTAGTTATAGATTTATAGTAGTAAATCTTGAAATTGAACAGTGTCAGTCCTCCAGCTTTGTTCTTACCCTTAAATATTAGGTTTGCTATTCTGGGTCTTTTGCCTTTCCATATAAACTTTAGACTAAGTTTGTTGATAGCCACAAAGTAACTTACTGAAATTTTGATTCAGATTCACATGGACTCTATAGATCAAGTTGGGGAGAAATTACGTCTTCACACAATCAGTCATATCAATGACCATGGAATATTTCTCAATTTATTTAGTTTTTCTTTAATATCTTTCATCAGATTTTAACTACATTTTCATGCTTAATGGATTAAAATTTGTAAACATGTTTTAATTAAGAGGAAATATTTTTCTCTATAAAGCTCAAATTTGATTTTAAAATGACCAAAGTTAGAATGGACTTCAATGAAACAGGCAGGTACACTTTTTCCAGTTGAGTTCAATTTGTCAATAGCAAGGCCGAAAACACGCATATTGCTTTGAATCTCTTGCAACTTCAGTGCCCTAGGATTGATGTAAATACTTAATTATTTCTGAGTACAGCAGACAATTCTCTCAACACTAGGATAGACTATTTCCTGAAACTTCGATAGAAAGAACAATCAAATGGTGAAGATATGTGAAAGGATATGTTGTTCAAATTAAAAGGTTTGCTAGTTCAGTAAAATTGAAAAAATGTAATATTTATGATCATTTATGATCTTTATGGAACCTTAATGACCTATCATTTGGAGTTTTCTAGCCATTAGTTTATATATTCATTCATTAGAAGTGTATGGAAAACTCATAAAATACAACCAATATAGTAGATTATAACTTTGCTGGAAAAATAGACATTTATAAATAATTATAATATAAGGGAACTGAAAGTAGAGCAATCGATATTTCAAAAATAAGTGATAATTTGAGCTAGTTCTTAAAATATTAGTAGAATTTTTTTCAGCAGAACAAAGGAACTAAAGAGATGCAAGAGAAGAGTGTTTTTAACAAGTATTTGTAGAACATCTGCTAAATACCATCCACATAATTAATATTAATAGGACCATTATCTCCTGCATTTTATAGACATATTTTCTTTTGATCACATATCTCACAAATATTGTAAATGTGATTTTAAGAGAAGACTATAAAGTATGTGTGAACAGAGGAAGGCTCTCTCACTCCACTGTGGGTTTTCAGGAAGGACCATGAGAAATTAGTGTCCAGGGCAAGATCTGTGGGAATAGCAAGAACAAAGGCCAGGAGGTATAGAGAGTACCTTGTGCTCCATGTGCGAAGAACTCAATAGGATGTGAGAGTGGTAAATGATAGAAAATGAGGTTTAAGAGGCAAGCAAGAACACACCCACAGAGCCTTGCAAACTACCTTAAGAACACCAAGATGTCATGGATAGTTATTATCAAGGAAGTAATATGTTCAGATGAGCATTTTACATGACTGTGCCTGCTTTAGCACAGATTGGGAGAAGAGGCAATGTTAGAAGCTGGAACACCAATAAGGCTATTGCATTGATTCAAGATACTATAATCTCCTGAATTAGAACAGTGGTATGGAAAATGAAGTGCAGCAGGAAAGCACACAAAAAAAATGGAGTGGCACATGCTCTGGAGTGAGGAAGCTTTGTTTATTTCTTTGTCAAATCAGCTTGTTCTTTTTTCATATTGTTCTTTCTTTTTAAATTATAGTTTCTATTTCTTCTATCCTTTTATTATTTTGTATGATTTATTTTATAGCATCTTTTAGTTTTTTTATAATCTGCATTTTTTTGTGGTAACAATCTATCAAAAATAGATAATCTATCAAAAAATAGATTTAGAAATCTATCCAAAAATGTATTCAATACTTGTAACCTGTAATTATTAATAATATTGATCTGTGAATGGTGTAAGTTGGAAATTTGTACTTGGATATGAGAGAGAAGCCTAAAGTGGGGAAATTATCCTCATAAAGCAGAATAAAAAATAGCTTTTAATAATTCCATATTTTCAAAAGATAATTTTCAAGGGTGGTTAAGACACAGGTTGGTATTAGGATACAAGAGACAGGAAAAGAAGTGAGGAAATATTTCAAAACTCTAGGAATCAGCAGTTGATGACCTAAACTGGGGCACGGACAATGAAAATGGAGACACGGAAACACATCAGAGACAGAAAGATCAGGACTTGGTGGCCATAGGCATTTAGGATAAAGAAGGATGTAAATTTAAAGATAACTCACCTGAGTGACAGATGAGGAGGTGATATACTCAGCTGGAGAATATTGAAGGAGGAGAGACATGTTGTCGGGAGGGGTCAGGAATGAGTTCATTTGTGGATACTCTGCTTGAAGTGGCTCAAGGAAGCTCTGAAAGTGGTTGAAGCTAGAAGTAAGGATTTAGAGCAAGCTTGTCCAACCCACAGCCCGCGGGCCATATGCAGCCCAGGATGGCTTTGAATGTGGCCCAGCACAAATTTATAAACGTTCTTAAAACACTGAAATTTTTTGTAATTTTGTTTTTTAGCTCATCAGCTATCATTAGTGTTAGTGTATTTTTTGTGTGGCCGAAGACAGTTCTTCTAATGTGGCCCAGGGAAGCCAAAGGACTGGACACCTCTGATTTAGAGGTCATCAATTTGGTTTAGTTTTTGTGAATAAATAACATTTCAGGGGGGTGAGGGAAGAAACTATAATTGTAAATAGGTCAAGAATTGAATCGTGTGAATGAAAGAGAGTAAAAACAGAGTTTTAAATGAGTTCAGTTGGCTGGATTTGCACTGATAAAACATGAGGAAGTAACTAGGTAGAAACTGGTTTGCTTTTCAGAGCATTCATGTTTAAGCCAGTCCCAGAAAATTGTTCATGTTAACTCAAATTTATAAGTGATGGAAGACTACTTAAAACCAACTGATTCACTAGCTGTGTGGTCTTGGATGAGTTATTGAACCCTCTAAACGCAGGCATATACACTTCTGATTCAGGAGCTACATTTGTATGTTTGTTACATGGATATATTGTGTGATGCTGAGGTTTGGGCTTCGATGGAACCCGTCACCCAGATAGTGTGACGGGTTTGCTCCCCTCCCTTCCTCCCCACTTTTTGAGTTCCCAGTGTCTGTCATTCCCAAACTTAAGTTTATTTAAATTTTAAGTATTGAAAATAAAATTTTGTCTATAATTTTATCAAGCACTAGATGCAGTTTTTTAAATCATCACACATGGGAGGCACACAATAAATAATATTTATTCATAATGGTTCCAATGATAAAATGACTGCCAAGCAGACCAAGATATATCTGCTGTTTTTGCTATGCATCTGGTTTACAAAATAAGTCAATATACTATTCAAAGAATTTCATGGGATACTAGTATGTTTTCAGAGTCTGCTGGTGAGCACTGAGTGACAGAAAGGTTAGCTGGGGGAATTAGGCAGTGATTCTGTATCATAATTGTAGCTCTGAACCTTCTTCGAAACTTTGATTTTTTATGTGTATACATTCCTGAGCCCTACTGACTTCATGCTAGACACTGAAATTACCAGAAAACAACAGCAAAATGAAAAGGTATAGTTTCTACTAACATGGACTTTAAGTAGGCTTGGAGATACACGCACCCACGCATGCATGCACACACGCACACACACAATATAGCTACTCAAAATTTTCCTGGAGCTCGAAATTTCCCTGGGTTTCAAAACTATAGATTTTAAAAAATTTCTAGGTTTTGTGTATATTACAAACCTTGTAGTGTTAGAGAATGACAGATTAAGGAGGGAAAACTTTTATCAAGTAAATATCCCTGAAGGATTTTCCTGTAATTAAAATTTTTTAACATTTGTGATAAATTACATAAATCACTACACTTTACATTGCCAGCAGAAATCAGGTTAGACTTTTACATCTTTCAACTTCTGGGTCTGTCACTCATTTCTTTTAATGTCTACATTTTTAATGTTGCTTTAGGCCTGCTGTCTCTACTTTACTAATTGACATACTTTCTTTTTCTTTTTATTCTACCCATTTGGGAAACTCATTTATTTTTCTTCAATCATCTTTAAAAAATTGACCATGGTTCATCACAGTTTATTACCCAGTGACTCCAAAATCAAGATGACATATTTGATATAAATGTGATCATGTTCAGCCACCATTGCACAACATTGATAGAGGATCAAAGCGTACCCAACATTATGATATTTCCTTGTACTCTTTACTGACTTCATTAGCAAACTGAGCTTTGTAATTTGGCTTCCTCTCCCTCTTTAATCCCTCCAACACGGTTACTCTCATAAAACAAGTCAAATTCACTTTCTGTGAACTCCAAGGGATTGTTCAAAATCAAGACCTTATTGATGGATTGATGTTTGAAGTAAGTAAATAACAGGATTAAAAATATTTTTGCCATATAGTGATATTATTTTATATTTATATTTTTGTAGTAAGACTAAAGTAGGTCACACGCTGAATTTTGATGGCTCTTTAGAGAGCCGTACAATTTCATTGCTTCCTATAATCAGGACCAATAGTACCCATAAACACATGCTTATGTTAATTGAGGGAACTTAACGATTTTTAAAAACTCTATGATACAGCATTTACTAAATATTTGAAATTCTATGTTGTATGCTAAGAAGTTATTTCTAAAGAAAGGCCCGGTGTGGGGGCCTGTTGTGCGGTGGGGAGAGGGAGGAGGGATAGCATTAGGAGATATACCTAATGTTAAATGAAGAGTTAATGGGTGCAGCACACCAACATGACACATGTATACATATGTAACAAACCTGCACGTTGTGCACATGTACCCTAAAACTTAAAGTATAATAAAAATATAAAATAAAAATAAAATGCATAGGACATTGTGCACTAAGACACAATGATAGCACTGATTCTGAGATCTGGCAAAACTTTGTCATGACCTATTACTGGATGAAACAGCAACGATGATCTATCTTTATATGAAAAGTTCAGTGCTACCTTTCTGTACCACAATAATGGATATTGGGGTCCTTGTCTGACAGTTTATTTCAGAACTGAGCCAGGAAGAGGGTATACACTTCCCTGATCACTGCTGAAGGAAAGCAAAGGCTCATGCTGAAAGCCACCATCTGCATGATACCAAACACCACAAAGTTGGCTATGCCTCCCTGCACAAATACATTGATGCATTTGTATGGCTTAAGTCATCGAGTTAGTTTCAAAAATGTTTGTAAAATTTGTTTGACTTTTGACTTCAAACTATACTACAAGGCTACAGTAACCAAAACAGCATGGTACTGGTACCAGAACACAGATATAGATCAATGGAACAGAACAGAGCCCTCAGAAATAATGCCGCATATCTACAACCATCTGATCTTTGACAAACCTGAGAAAAACAAGCAATGGGGAAAGGATTCCCTATTTAATAAATGGTGCTGGGAAAACTGGCTAGCCATATGTAGAAAGCTGAAACTGGATCCCTTCCTTACAGCTTATACAAACATTAATTCAAGATGGATTAAAGACTTAAATGTTAGACCTAAAACCATAAAAACCCTAGAAGAAACCCTAGGCAATACCATTCAGGACATAGGCATGGGCAAGGACTTCATGTCTAAAACACCAAAAGCAATGGCAACAAAAGCCAAAATTGACAAATGGGATCTAATTAAACTAAAGAGCTTCTGCACAGCAAAAGAAACTACCATCAGAGTGAACAGGCAACCTACAAAATGGGAGAAAATTTTCACAACCTACTTATCTGACAAAGGGCTAGTATCCAGAATCTACAATGAACTCAAACAAATTTACAAGAAAAAAACAACCCCATCAAAAAGTGGGCAAAGGATATGAACAGACACTTCTCAAAAGAAGACATTTATGCAGCCAAAAAACACATGAAAAAATGCTCATCATCACTGGCCATCAGAGAAATGCAAATCAAAACCACAATGAGATACCATCTCACACCAGTTAGAATGGCAATCATTAAAAAGTCAGGAAACAACAGGTGCTGGAGAGGATGTGGAGAAATAGGAACACTTTTACACTGTTGGTGGGACTGTAAACTAGTTCAACCAATGTGGAATTCAGTGTGGCGATTCCTCAGGGATCTAGAACTAGAAATACCATTTGACCCAGCCATCCCATTACTGGGTATATACCCAAAGGACTATAAATCATGCTGCTATAAAGACACATGCACATGTATGTTTATTGCGGCACTATTCACAGTAGCAAAGACTTGGAACCAACCCAAATGTCCAACAATGATAGACTGGATTAAGAAAATGTGGCACATATACACCATGGAATACTATGCAGCCATAAAAAATGATGAGTTCATGTCCTTTGTAGGGACATGGATGAAATTGGAAACCATCATTTTCAGCAAACTATCGCAAGGACAAAAAACCAAACACTGCATGTTCTCACTCATAGGTAGGAATTGAACAATGAGAACACATGGACACAGGAAGGGGAACATCACACTCTAGGGACTGTTGTGGGGTGGGGGGAGGGGGGAAGGATAGCATTTGGAGATATACCTAATGCTAAATGACGAGTTGATGGGTGCAGCACACCAACATGGCACATGTATACATATGTAACCTGCACATCGTGCACTTGTACCCTAAAACTTAAATTATAATTATAATAAAATTAAAAAAATAAAAAAAAGTGAATTAAGACTCCAGTAAAAATTTGGAGCCAATTTGAGTAGACAGCTCTCAATTCCATTTTTAAAATATCAAGGGATATAGATTTTTTTAAAAATTTTTATCTAAAGATCTTTAAGTATTTTTATTTCTTTATATCTTATTTTCCATAATAAGCATGCCTACATGATTTATGTGGAAAAAAAAAGGCCCGGTGTGAAAAATGTTTTCTAGGAGAATGATATTAAATTGATATATAAATATATATTATGTATACCTTACCAAGTGAGCACATATTTCCTTAATGATAAATGATACTTCTAAAGCAGAAAGCAAGACTGTGAAGCAAAGACCTGCAAATGGATGCAATTTAGTGAACAAAAGAGGGATGCGACTGCCTGAACATGCACAGGAGTCTGAAGTGGTCAGGTCTGGGGCACACTGAGCATGTGTCCTGGGAAATAGTGAAGCAGGATGAAGGTGGAGGGCATTTTTGAGTGGGAAGGTGTTGTGGAGGCCAGGTTAAAGGGAAAGTATGGAAATGCACAGGGAAAAATACCTTGAATTCTTAACCGTTTGGCCCAGGGTGAACACTTGGTGCAAAGAGAATTCTAACACTTCCAGGAATGTTTTAAACAATGCTGTTTTTGCTTTGGAGCAGTTACTTATATTATCTGGCATACCTTGTTCAATATTGAAAGCTATTTCTGATTATCTCTAGTTTTTTTTTTTTTTATCCAAACTCTCAGAGCATCATCAAGTGTATTATAGTCTTAGCCTTTGTAAGAATTGGTAAGTTCACAAAACATTTTATTTAGTGCTTACCTTGCACAAGGCTTGAGAGATTTTAAAAAGGTGCATAAGGAAAATTCCTAACCTCAAAACATGCATATTACAATCACTAGACTTTAATGGATAGAGACAGCCTTGTAAATAAATAATTCTCTTGATATGATATGATAAGTACAGTTAGAGACAGGCATATTCAGAGGCTACAGAGCATAGAGAGAATAAATAGCTAGTTTCATCAATAGTAAATTTCACTCTGCTCTTTTTAAGGAACTTACCTAAGGAGACTTGGAAAGAAGACAAAAACTGTCTTTTAATCTGTTATGATTGTAATTTAATTCAGAAAAATGCTCATTCCAAAAAGGGAAATTCTGAAATAGTTTACCAACATTATAGTTCAGAAAAAGACATTTAATGATGTTGAATCTAAAGACTAACTTTTCAAATTGTCCATTATTTGTTAATAAAAAACATGAAATGATATAAATTCCAAAGGAAAAGATAAGGCATTTTTATTAATTCATCCATGAGGGAGCCTGAGAGAAACTTTGTGATTGTGGCTTTTTTAATCTCAATTTTTTTTAAAGAATCATGGATTAGGGCTATAGTTGGGTTTATTGCCATGTACGTCAATCGATCGTAATTGATTTAGTAGTGTTTGAGGGACTGTGGGTACTATTTTCTAGTTTAAAAAGTCTCTATAACTTTCTGTCACAGGATCTGAAATCACCAGAGATTTCTTAAATGTTTAGGTCATTCCAGAAGTCCCTACTTAAAATTTGCTTAGAATGTCTACTAGTTTCCTATTACTGCTGTTTTAAAAAAATTACCACAAATGTAGTGGCTGAAAACAATGTAAATATATTATTTCACAATCCTGGAGGCCAGAAGTTGGAAATCAGTTTCAATTTGCAGAAATCAGCGCGTTGGCAAGGCTGCAGTCTTCTAGGTGCTCTAGGGGAAAATCCATTTTTTGCTTTTTTCAGTTTCCAGAGGCTGCCTAAATTCCTTGATTAATGGCCTATTATGCCATCTTCCAAGCCAACAGCCTAGCATCATCTTTCCTCTCTGATCCCTGCTTCTGTTTCTACTTCTTCACTCTCTGATCTTACCCTTTTGCATCTCTCTTTTGAGGATCCTTGTGTTTACATTGAGGCCACCCAGATAATCCAGGATATTCTACTCATCTCAAGATCCTTAACTTCACAGCTACAAAGTTCCTTTCACCAGGTAAGGTAATATATGTGCAGATTCCAGGGATTAAGATGAGGATATCTTTTGAGGGTCATTATTCAGGCTATCATAAAGGTAATACTTTAAATGTTGCTGTGATCCATAAATATTATCTCAGAGAAGACTGTAAGGACAAGGTTCTTGAAGAAACAGACTAAGTACTAGAAGTCAAGGCTAGATTGACAAAACAGGCTAGAAAGGACATGCTTGATTTTTTTTTTCTTAAAAGGAAAACTACCACAAAAGGGTAAAAGGAAGATTCCTCCTCCTCCAAACTATACTGTGTAATTTTTTAAAGTACAAATTTCTAAGCAATGAGAAGGTCATAATTTTATCCACTTTTCTTTAGCTGATGCTATTGCCATGCACCTTATATATTTAATGACCTTGCAAATGTGAATTCCAAAAATAGGGTTAAAACTATGGCAGAGAAAAGTAATAATAATTTTTGTGTTTTTTTCTTTCTGCATTGCTTGTTCTTCAGAAAGGTATTTGGTTATTTCAATAAATGACTTTAGAATTTAAAGCTTAATTTTTTTAAGTTATTCTGAAAAGGACACTGGAAATAAACTATCCCACACACACATTTTTACTGAGAAAGTACAGTGTGTCATAAGTAATTTATATTTGTGGTCTAAGATCATACTTGGTGGCAAACCCAAACCTGGTACACAGGTTTCCTGTCTTCCAAATGAGTTCTCTTTCCACTGGATCCATTAGCTCAATGATTTGCACTTGAGTTAAATCTCAGTGCAATATACAAACTACCCATGGGCATCTTCCTTTCATAAACCCATTAATATGAGAGCCAGGAAACATTTTCTCAGTACATTCAATAAACTCCACTGATGTACTTGGCTCTGTGGGGACCCATAAAGGAATATCATGCTTGTCTTCCAGAAGTGCTTCTCTCCATTGCTAAGAACTTGAAAATACCTGAGATAGACTGCTAGGAATTCTTCCCAAAAAAATCCATAGATCATTTCCCATAGTAAACAAGCAATCCTATCTAACCTTTTTCCCTTGCTATTTTGAAGCCAAGATTTACCCTGAAGCAAAAAGTTGTTTGAGCAGGGGGTTATGGCATGGTCATGAATAAAGAGACATTGCTTATAAACTCTGCTAACTTGAATGATTCACTTTCCAAAAATGAGCAGCATAAGGAGAGTACTTATTTATTTATGCTTTATAATATCCAAGCAAACAAAAATAATTTTTGTACTGTTTTTGAATTGCGCAGGCATTCCATACACTTTTGAGAGCTAATACCCTGAACAATCTCAATTTTTTTCTGTATACCCTCCACCCCTAAACCCTACTTTGTCCATCTCTGCTGTGCAGTATCCCCCAGGAGACTGACACAGGCTCTTGGGACAGCTGGCTTCTGGTGGAGGGACAGCTGGCTTCCAGTGGATTGCCCAATCGGAGGCACCAACAGGAGAAAATAGATAGGACAGTGAAAAGCAAGGGTTCAAAAGCAAGGATTCTTGGGGGCTTTTCTCCATTCTGTATTGGTCTGTACCCTCCTTGAGTACAGCTATGTTAGGCGACAGCTCTTCCATGGCTCCTACTGTTTGTGATCTCACGATGGGAATCACTGTTTCTCCCTTTGCCCCTTCAGGCCTATCAGTGGTCATGACTTTCTCTGTTTCAAATCTCTGGGTGTATCCCTTAATCCAGCCCACTCATCTGTAACCAGTCTGTTTATTAAGCTTTGCCTTAATTAATATGAACCACTTGAATTGAATTTTGCTTTGTAATAGGCTTAAGTCGTTGACATGCGTCTTTCCTGCTATGTAAGAGGAAACTCAACAGCGATTTGAACGTCTTTGGAGCCCCTGTGCTCTGTTTTCTGCCTATTCTACTCCTCCCTCTGGTTGGCTCACCCTATACTAATGGTGAGGCAGGGAAAGGTGCTCAGAAGCAGCATGCTTAAATCCCTCTGAAATGAATTGACACATTTCCTTTTCCCAGTCCAGTATCCCATGTTTCTGTGGGTCTTAAGCCCTGGTAAGTAGAATAGCCCAGAAAATGTGGATAAAAAACCACACAATTTATTACTTTGGCTGTCCTGGCCTTGTTTTAACCATTTTATATATAAGTCCTATTGTTTTACTTCATGGCCTCATTCTTTTTCATGGAGCAAATCCAACCCAAACGCCTCTGTAGACCTTCTCCCAAGGTAGAGTTAACTGAGTATGGTTGGCCTGCCTAGCAATACTATTTATTTGATTTGCAGGTCTCTTTCTTAATGACAATGTAATTACTCAAATGTCAAAAGTTCTCTGCCAAGGCAACCAAGTGTATAATATGTACTGTATAGTTTTGACCAGGACCTTGAATTCAAGTGGGTCATTTTATTTCTGTATTCTTGGTAATAATGCTTGTGCTAATAGGAATTTGCACCATTCTAAGACTTTGTCTTTTGAAATTTTTCTTTCCTGTTTTGTGTCTCTCTTTCTACAGTGTCTGTCTCTCTCTTCAAGTTCTGGTTAATCTATACTTTCTTCTAGATTTACCACCTTAATTTTCTGTTGCTTTCTCCTCTTCTGATATATTAGATCTCTCTCTAGATGAGCTTTCACATTCAATATGTTTGCCTCCTGATAACTTCAAAAATATATTCGGTATATTTATTTAGGGAAAATAAAAATGTAACCCGTATGTAACAATAGAAAATGAAATACAGGGACAGGATTTTTTGGCAATATAATTGTGGCACTTTATGCAAGTAAAAATTAGATAATGTTGTATGGATAATGGATGATGTAATATATGCCTATGTAGTTATTTAATGCATCTTAACTTGAGATTTTAGACGCATTAAAATACACACATTTTACTTTGTTCAATGGTCATCAGATTTTTGAAATTTCTCTCTTTGTAGTTGTTAGAGCCAACAGAATAAAGGGATCTTGGAAAGGTGTATATTATTCTTCTAGCATTTATTAACCATCTATACTGGTCCAAGAATTAGAATAGATTTTGGTATTACGAAATTTAATAACGCAAAGTTCCATCCTCCAGCTACCCTCTGAGGAGTCAGAGATTTTTAATGGATCACGAGATGGAGTTTATAGCATCTTGGTAGACGTTGTTAGGGTAACAGAGGGAAAGAGTTAATAACTCTGAGGAGGGTGACCAGGCACATTTTCTACTAATAGTGAGGGTGTTGAAGGATGAATTGCAATGCATCAGGCAGGGACTAAGGAAAAGTATTATATAGAGGAGAGCTCCATGTGTGACAAGACATACAGACAGGAAAGAGGCTTGTCACAGGGCTTGGTGGTGGGTGGGTGCAGAGGGAGCAGCTGTGTCCCTTATTCAGCATCCCACCCTCTCTTGTTATCTTGGCTCTATCCTTTCCCTCTGTTACTAGTTCAGGAGGCTCGGAGTCTCACTCTAGCTATTGCCCTACATTGCCCTCTTCATATCACAGCACAGACCTCAAGATAATGTTTGGAATTTACCTCTTAACCATCCACTCATCAGCAATGGAAACTAGATTCAAACAACCAGTAAAATTATTCTGTAAATAATGGCCAATAAAGGTTGTGCTTACAGACGCAGTGGAATCTTTTTAGTTCTCATGTAATTTAGCTAGGGATACCAGATAAATACAAAATAATTTGCATCTTAAATGGTAAATTTAAATTTAATTAGTAAAATCTAAATTTCCAATAAAATAGCTACTTTTTAGTGTAAGCAGTTTTTGTGATATACTAAAAAATATTTGCTGTTTATCTGAAATTCTAATTTAGTTAGGAGTCCTGTATTTTTCCACATTAAATCAGGCAACCCTAAATTTCCCCCTTCGGATGAGACTCTGTGAACCTCTCACATTCTCTCTCCCTTAGCCTGTAAGTTGCATTAAAAAACAACAACAACAAAAAAAAACGGTTCTCCTGGTCTCACTTTTCTTCTTCCTCTAGTAGCCCATCTCTAGTTATTCTTGTTCTCTAGGGCTCTGCTCTTTGTTCATTTCTTTATGCCAACATGCTTTTCCTGGACAATTTAATTCCCTTTCTTGGTTTTTACTGCTATTCACCTATGACTTCCAAATCTCTCCCACCATCCAATATCTTGCCTTTGACTTCCAGACCTGTCTATCCAGTGCCTACTGGATGTTTTCCTCTGGTTGTCCTATGGGCATCTAAAGCACCAAATAGCTGAAATGAACAAACAATCTTTGTCTCCAAATTGCCTCTCCCTTGAATTCCTTATATTAGCAAATAACACTACCACCAACCAAATTACCGAAGTAGAAACCTGGGTAACGTCTCAGTGTCATTCTTTCCCCTCACTTCCATTGACCATTGCCTCAATCAGCCAACAATGATTCTTTATAATCCTCCTTTACAAAATGCTATAAATTCCCTAGAACCTACTTAGTTGACTTACTTATCTCAACCAGATTAGCCTCTAATGCAATTTCCTTATTTGCCCCGCCCCCCACTCTCTCTCTCTCTCTCTCTCTCTCTCTCTCTCTCTCTTTCTGTGACTCTCTGTGTCTCTCTCTCTCTTTCTCATCAGTCCTCTCCAACATTCTAAAGCTTCTAATTTGAATATATTTCTTAATTGCTTATGTTTTCATAAAGTATATTTTTCAGGATAGGCTGAAAAGTTTAAATTAGATGAATTATATTCTCCACAATCAGATCCCTGCCAGCCTTCCTAGCCTTATCTCTGAGGATTAAAGAAGACATATGACTGGTTTCATTGTTTCTTGCCTTGTGTGTAGCAGGTATTCAATAAGTATTTGTTGTACGAATGAGAGAATGATAGAGATCATTTTTACAGAGTGAAAGCTGTTTGCAATGTTGTCAGAGAAGAGAACATTCAAAGTACAATGATAAGAGTTCTTACATTTGGAAGACTTGATTTGACACATAATATTTAAAAAATTACTTAATAAAGAATTATGATTTTATGGGATTTCTGTATGAATGTCATACATAGAAATATTTAGATACATATAAATCTTAAATGCTCCTAGGAAGATATATATTTACATACCTACTTAAATACACTGAATCTGTTTTACTATTAGGAATAGCCAATAAATATTGACATTCTGATTGTTTAAATCTTCTGAATAATTAATCACTATTTTTCTAACATTTAGAATATATTAAAATACAATCCACACTGTAATTATAGGTGGCATAATTAAACCTTTGTCACATGTAAAGATAGTTCAGAAGACTGTAACATTTAATTTATCTGTTATAATCATTTTGATTTATGAGAAAGTGGAGAAGCCTATTTTCAGATGATATGTATTTTTCAGTTTTCCAAAACTCAAAATTATCACATAATATATAAAATGATTTCTAAGTATGTATATATATCAACATTACTCTCCAGTGATTTTAAGTAATGGAGATTTTTCTAAGTGTAAACCTAAAGACATATTGTTTAGAATATGGTATAAATAAATGTGTCTTTTAAAGTTTAAAGACTACTCAAAGCATTGTTATCTACTAAATAAGTGTGGGAAATTTAATTTAACCTTCCAGATAATGTGTGTGAATGAAAAGAAATTATAAATATAGCATGGGGTGGGGAGGTACTTGCCATTCATAAAATAATTCCCTTTGGTATGCCATAGACTAAGCATTGGGAGAATTCATGATGAATAACACAATTCCATTTGAAGCCTCTGTAGAATTATTTCTATGTAGTTAGTAACAAGTGGAGCTTGGGGTATTATTAGGCAAAATTACAACAGCAGCACACCGCTGTGCAGAGAAAGATCAGGGCATTTCGTCTAAGCAGCATCTTCATAACTCTGGCTCCTAAAACTAATGTTGTGAAGCTTCAGTTCTTTTGAATTGAAACTCTGGGGAATAAGAGAGGGTCATAATTATTAGCTAGGAATTGATGCTAAATTTGTTTATTCACTGATTTTTCCACCACTTTCTATAGTATGTAAATGAGATTTTTACTTAGAAAAAACATTCTGACTCTGAGACAGATGACAGCTGTTCAACCCCAGGGGCAGAAAAAAAACACAGCTTTTTCCTTGGCCTTTTCTTTTTCGTTAGTGCAGCTTCTAGAGCCTCATTGAATTTTCCCAGAATTCCCTGTGCAGGAGCTTTCAAATTCTGATTGATTAGTCATCATATCAGAGCTTACCACTTTGTAGCTCCCCTGCTACCAATTGAACATTATGAACAGGGCCCAGAAAATTAGCTTGCTCAGCACCATTGGGATTGTGGCCTGTTTAGCAATGGATGTATAATTCCCTATGACTCTAGTTAGTAGAATTGGCATCAGAGTGGTATGAATAGAATGTCTTCAGAAAGGAGTCTGAACATCTTTTGCAAGTTGACAATATCGCCTTGAGATACAGGGAGAGGTGTGCGTGTGTGTGTGCGCGCACACACACACACACACGCACGCACACACACAAACATATCTTCCCAGACCTCTTGGCAGAGGAGATTATAGACTGAAGTAGGGAATGACAGAAGCAAGAAAAAGGAACTCATTCTGGTGGGAGATGGGGGAGAGGTGGTTTTCAATGGTTAATTCTTCTACCTCTACCACTTTTAGCCTGTTACAGTCTGCAATATCCCCTTAGAAATGACTCAGTGATCACATTATTGGATCTCACTCTTGTGAAAACCTCCTAAGGCAGAGAGAAGTCAAGTTGTGCAGAAAGTTATCACCTGGCACTGATGATTGATCTTAGGTGTGACATTTTGTTCCTCTTTTCTTATCCCTGGATCTCTTTCCTGCTATGTAGTCTCCATACACAACAAACTTTAACAGCACATTGAGGCATGAATTCATCAAGCATCCTGTGCTCCCTCACGGCATCAGAACACCACTTCCCCTCTGTCTCCTGACAGTGAGCTCAGAAATTAACTCACAATAAGGTGCTGATGGCTAATTTGAAGTTAATATGTAACCTCTCTCAAAATGATGTGGATTTGAAGCAGAGATGTGAAGAGAAAGGCAATATATGAACATGAAAGAAACAAATCACCTCCACTGGTCAAATATCCTGGTAGATGTCTGGAGACAAACCGTAGGGCAGAGGATATATTTATATTTCCTTCAAATTCTAAACATAGGCTGGTCCTAGTGAGAGTAAACAAAAACACATTTATCATACTTATCAATTGAGTTATTATTTTAAAATATGCCTTCCACAATTAAGTTGCCTTGGGTGGATTTGTGTAACATGCCACTAAAAATACCATGAAATAAACATAAATAAGCTAAAATTTTCTTAGCCTTAAATTGCTGTTCTGTTTTAGAATAATATGGGCAGATAAGCTCCACAGCCTCCAAATCAGGAATTAGATGTGTTAACAGCTGTTTTTAAAATATTTTTATGTTAAGGGAAATACACGTAAGTGTACATGAAAATTTCTTGCTTTTTTTTTTTTTTTTACTCTCGCTATAGGTTTTACTCCATGTACATATCAAGATGGATATGTCTATGTAATAAAATATATCATATATTTACATATATGAATACATGTATACTGGGCCAAAAGCAATGCAAAACTAAGGAATTAAAGTCTGCCTTATCTACACTTTCCTCTTCTTTGCTATGTTAGCACAAATGTACTTCTCATTTGAGGGAACATGGTAGAGGAGCTGCCATCCCATCTTAATGGTACTTGATGATGCCATTGAAGAGAAGACATACTATTTATTTGGTGCTTAGCATTTAGCTTTCTTGATATCCATCACTGCTTTACATTACCCTCAGAGACACATCACTGAATACAGTTTTGAATGGTTCCATGCTATGCATGATTTTTATGGGGGTGCACTGAGCTGTGCAGTCTGCAGCCACTGCATTCCAAACAAAAGAAGTAATCATCTAGACACAGAGAAATGGGTTCATTGCCAACATGGAACAGGAAAGATTCAATATTCATGTTTCGACAGACCACTTAACCAGTGTTTTCCTGATAACACGGTGCTAGAACCTAGTAGATATTCAATCAATGTTTGTTGAATGGATAAATGAGTGATTGAATAGATGCATTAGGTATCTTCAATTGGGTCTTTCTTTATCTAGATCTTTAATATAATGCAGTCTATGGAAGATGGGGTTATAGCAATGTATTTTTAAATTGACAAGTATTCATGTTTAATAACTTTAGTTAAAGGAATCATAAAATCCTCAAATTTATACAAATGATAAAGTTTTTTTAACTTATACCTAGTGTGAATTTTTAAATCACTTAATAAACTGTAAAAGTTTATTAAGTTGTACTAAATAATACGATGCTCATTTTATAGATTTTTCAAATTGCGGCATGTACAAATACTGGTTACATAACTTGCTTACCCACTGGCCAAGTAGGTTTTTGCTCTCCCTTTCTCATATTTCTGCTCCCTAAGTAAAATGTTACATCCTTGCATCTTTCATTTCCAGAGCTCCAACTCTCTGCCTCCTTATTTCTGATTAGACTAGCATGAGATTTCCTTTCTTCCCATATTTTGTGTTCCATGCATTCACAGAGAGACAGATCTTAGCACCTGAAGAGACCTTAGTGATCTGCAGACTGACTTGCTTCTTGTGGTGAGAAAGGTACCATCTTTACTATGTTACAGAAGAAATTCCCAAGAGGCCTAGAGTATGTAGGATTCACATGCTGGTGTGAATAGAGAAGAGGATGCTAGACCTTCAGGATACTTTTTTCTTCTTTTCTTAACCAACACATTTTCACTGGAGGCTTATTTATCTTTCATTTCTATAGGAGTGATAAAACTGAATGTTTTACAATTTCATTCGGTAGATCAAAGAAGATTCATTGAATGTTTTCTCCTGTGCTTTGGGCACACTCATGTCCTGTTGTATGTGTGGCGGAGGTGTGTGTGTTTAAATAACAGATGACCCTTTATAATGGGTACAGAAGATAGATAAAAATTGTTAGTGTATTAGAACTTTTTATGCCAATGCTTATTTTTAATTGAAAAAAATACAGTGAAGAATATATTATACATGTATATAATATTGGTTTTATTTTTATGATAAAGCAAGAAATGTAGATACTAAGGTGTGTTCAATTAAGGACAGGCCAGATACAAATTTTCCTGCAGCTTGAAAATCTTGTCTACATATCCTAAGAAAGCATCTTCTGATATTGTTCACGTAGGTAGCATAATGTCCTGAAAGTCAAGATGCCTGGGTCTTTTATCTGGTGCTAGTATTGCCGGGTGGGAGATTGAGGCATGAAATAGGTTGTCATTAAGGTCCATTCCAGCTTTAACAAGCTATTAATGAAATGTTGATTGTCAAACAGAAAATGTGCATTTTGTTGGTTGACGGAGCCACATTTGCATAAGGCTGCCCCAAACCACTCTGACTGTTAATAAATGCCAGAGGACTTGCAGCAAATCAAAACACAAGTGCTGATAAAATGAATTTATAAAAAAAGAGTGATTATTTTGCTTGAAAAGCCACAGGGTGGCCTGTAGAATCTAATGCAGGGAGGCTCTGAGAATATATGAGAATAAATAGTAACAGTGTTTTCTGAGCCCACGTTGTAAGGAGAATCTAAATGATCCAGTATGTTACCCTGTCATTTTCCACTTGCAATGTAGACAGCTAATTTTTATTTTTCAGTTTTCATTTTAAAACAAAACCAAGAGATGATGACTGCAGTGTAAGACTTACTTTCCTGTTGGGAGGAAATTGCACTGTGGGCATGATGTCTTTAACTTTAACCTTTAAAAGGTATAATTGACTTGTAGTAATTTTAGGTTAAATTATATTGTGCTGTGAGTTAGGTCACATACAAAACACTCCAGACATTTATTACGGATATGTTAAAAGTTTGTTAGATTTTATTTCCAGAGGATTTCATTTAACAGATTTCTACTCTATATTATACTCGATCTCCTGAACAATATTAGAAACAGAGGACGGACCTTGTTTCTCTTTTGAATTTTCTGCTTCCTTCAAGCCATCATTGTTGACCCTAAAGAAAAAAGTCCACTTCATATTAGCCTTCTTGGTCTACCACAATAGAACATCACAAACTAGTAACCTCGACCACATATAATTATCTTTTTACAGTTCTGCAGGCTAGAGATCCAAGATCAAGGTGCTGGCAAGGTTGGTCTTGGTTGGGGCTTTCTTCTTGGCTTGCAGATGGCTGCCTTCTCACTGTGTCTTCACAGGGAAGAGAGAGAGAGCTCTGGTGTTTCTTTCTTTTCTTATAAGGATACAGTCCTGTTGAATTAGGACTCTACTCTTTTTTTAACTTTTATTCTAAGTTCAGGGGTACTCGTGCGGGTTTGTTGCATAGGTAAACTTGTGTCATGGGGGGTTGTTGTACTGATTATTTCATCACAGCTATTAAGACTGATACCCATTAGTTGCTTTTCCTGATCCTCTCCCTCCTCCCACCTTCCACCCTCTGATAGGCCCCAGTGTGTGTTTTCCCTTTGATGTGTCTGTGTGTTCTCATAATTTAGCTCCCACTTATAGGTGACAACATGTGGTATTTGGTTTTCTGTTCCTGTGTTAGTTTGCTAAGGATAATGGCTTCCAAATCCATCCATGTTCGTGCAAAGGATATGATCTCATTCATTTATGGCTGCATAGTATTCCGTGGTATATATGTACCACATGTTCTTTATCCAGTCTATCATTGATGGACATTTAGGTTGATTCCATGTGTTTGCTATTATGAATAGTGCTGCAATAAACACATTTGTGCATGTGTCTTTATAATATAATGATTTTTATTTCTTTGGGTATATACGCAGTAGTAGGATTGCTGGGTCAAATGGTATTTCTGCTCTTGGGTCTTTAAGGAATCACCACGCTGTCCTTCACAATGGCTGAACTAATTTACACTCCCACCAACAGTGTGTAAACATTCCTTTTTCTCTACAACCTTGCCAGCTCCTGTTATTTTTTGACTTTTCACTAGTAGCCATTCTGATTGTTATTGAATGGTATATCATTGTTGTTTTGATTTCCATTTCTCTAATGATCAGTGGTGAGCCTTTTATCATATGATTGTTGGCTGCATGTATATCTTCTTTTGAAAAGTGTTCATGTCCTTTGCTCACATTTTTATAGGGTCATGTTTTTTTTTTGTAAATTTGTTTTTCTTTATAGATGCTGGATATTAGACCTCTGTCAGATGCATCATTTGCACAAGTTTTCTCCCATTCTGTAGGTTGTCTGTTTGCTCTGTTGATAGTTTCTTTTGCTGTGTAGAACTTCTTTGGTTTAATTTGATCCTACTTGTCAATTTTTGCTTTTGTTGCAATTGCTTCTGGTGTCTTTGTCATGAAATATTTTCCTGTATCTGTGTCTTGAATGGTATTGCCTAGGTTGTAGGACCCCACTCGTTATCCTTCATTTAACCTTAGCTAGCTACTGAAAGGCTCTATCCACAAATGCAATCATATATGAGGTTAAGACTTCAATATATGAACTTTGCAAGATGACACAATTCCATCCATGACAACATTTAAAGCTCATTTACAAATGTAATCTCTCCCTTTCACAAATATCTTAATTCAAAAGCTGAAGATAACTTCACATTTTATTTTCCAGTCTGACTCCAGTTGTAAAATAAAACATTAGCCCAATGGTTTCTTCCCCCTGAGGATATTCTATTCTGATATCTAACTTTTAAATATATGTTCACTTCTTAAAGTAGAGGGATAATAGCCACCATCTGTTTTCACTATCTTACATATGCAAACACAGAGAGCTTACCTCTGCATCTATTTGTGAAGGGTACACAGTTCTTCAAATGAAACCTGTAAAATGAGATATAATGTTTTACATTATTCTGGAATGTCCTCTTAAGTTTGTAAACCTTAACTCATTAATTCATGCGATAAATTGTTAATAAACACTTACTCTGTGTCAATCACTATTCTAGGCATTGGTGTGACAATGGAGAACAAAGTTTCTCCCTCAAGGTGCTCAAAATGCCCTAGTCTAGGTAATAAAATACATGGTCACACTTCTCGTGCAGAAAAATCTCCTTTTCTGTGTTTATTGTTTTATGTCATCTTTTTTTTTCTTACCCCTCATAACTAAGCTCAGTCATTTTTGCTGGGAAAAATATTGAGAGGAAAATGAAATGAAGTGTCTTATAATGTGCTCATCTGTAAACTGATGGATAGACTAGAACAGTGGTCTTCAGTCCTAGCTATCCATTAGAATTACCTGGGGAGCTCTAAAAATATACCCTACCTGGGCCCCAGGGATTCTGATTTATTTGGTCTGTGACATGTCCTGCCCATGAGGACATTTAAAAAGATCCCAGGGTGATGCCAATGCACAGCCTGAATTGAGACATGGAATGAGGTGATCACCAAGATTCTTCATTGATCTCAGTGTGTGAATTCTTTGGTTTTCTGCCCAGATGTAAAATTATGTTCTAGAATAAGTTGGAAAAGTCATTCTTGTTCCTCTGTATGTGTGTATCCTAGGGGCTATTAGTGATGCTTTCAAGAAAAGCATATCTGGGCCGGGCGCAGTGGCTCATGCCTGTAGTCCCAGCACTTTGGGAGGCCGAGGCGGGTGGATCATGAGGTCAGGAGATTGAGACCATCCTGGCTAACATGGTGAAACCCCGTCACTACTAAAAATACAAAAAATTAGCCGGACGTGGTGGCAGGCACCTGTAGTCCCAGCTACTCGTGAGGCTGACGCAGGAGAATGGCATGAACCCAGGAGGCAGAGCTTGCAGTGAGCCAAGATCACACCACTGCACTCCAGCCTGGGCGACAGAGCAAGACTCCATCTCAAAAAAAAAAAGAAAAGAAAAAAGAAAAAGAAAAAAAAAGCATATCTGCTTGGCTCTAATTTAGGACAACTCTTTTGTCTTTTGATTTAAATAAAAATCACAAAGATCAAATCAAATTAAATTTGTATAAAATTCAAGTAGTTTACATGTAGCATGAAGTGAGGGGAGTGCAGAGAAGGGTGGGGGTGGCATGATACTGAACTGTACAGCTAAAGAGGCGCTTGTATATCACTCTAAGTGCTTCCGAGTTTATCTTAATGATGATGGTTTTGCCATTGAAAAAGTATTAAGAAGTGGAAAACATAAAGAGATCTATGTTTTGGAAATATCACACGAGAAAGACAGTGGAAAATTGCTGGAAGAGGGGCAAAACCAAAGACAAATAGAGTTCAGGAGAGAGGCAATGCTAGAGCCTTAGTTTAAGGAAAGTAAAGAAAAAAAATAAAAAATAAAGCAAACAGAGAAGTGGGCAACACCTTGAACAAACTGACACTCTGCAGGTCAATGGAGAAGAGAATTTCAACAAGAAAGAGGTGGTCGGCAGCATCAAACTGCATAGAGGCCGAGTAAAAATTGCTACATGTATTGAGTACCGAACAATTTTCTAATTGCTTTATGTGTATTAAGTCACTTAATTTGTATAAGAACTCTGGAAGGTAGCTGTTATTATCAACTCATTTTATACAGGAGGAAACCAAAGTACAGGTGGTATTGTGCCAAAGACCACACAGTTCGTAAATAGCACAGTGAGAGTGTGAATCTGCAGGACTCAATTCCAGAAGCCATGCCCTTAATGACCTGCGAAATGCCTGTTAGGACAAAGAACGAGGACTATATCCACCCTTCCCGCTTTACAGTCTCCTATCCATTGTATCACTCTGTATGCCTTTGCATACCCATGGCTTATTTCTCAAAGTGAGAACATACGGTATTTGATTTTCCATTTTTGACTTATTTCACTTAGAGTAATGACTTCCAGCTCTATGCAATTTGCTGCAAAAGACATTTCATTCTTTTTTATGGCTGAGTAGTATTCTATGGTGTATATGTACCACATTTTTAAAAATCCACTCCATGGGTCGATAGGCATTTAGGTTGGTTCCATATCTTTGCAATTGTGAATTGTGCTGTAATAACATGCAGGTACCTTTTTGATAGGACTTTTGGAAATGTGCTTTTTTAAAAAATATCTCATGTGTGAAGGAAGGGTACACAATAAGGTGGTACTTGAGGGTGACTTAGCATAAAAGTATAATTATATTTGAAGTTGGAAGAGATGGAACACACTTATAGTCTGTTAAAAAATAGCCAAGAGGAATGCAAAAGATGGAGGTACAGGAGATTAGTCATTAAGGTAGTTTCCTATGAAGACGGAGGAGAGGGGAAGGAATCAGTTTGACTATCTCTTCCTGGGAGATAGGAGGAAAGGAAGGGAGGTGGGAAATAACAGCATTTAGGAGTCAGAAAGCTGTGAAGGAGCATTTACCCAAGACCACTTTCATTCCTCCCTATGAAATGAGTGGTGCAGGGCCTGCCCAGAGGATGGGTTAGCCTTCCAGTCATATACATGACACTGATCCAACTTTCTCAAAAGGCATGGATGTTGCTAACTCACTCAGGTTGCAGCTGTCTTTCTCAGTCAGAGTATTCTTCAAGTTGTATTCGTCAAATTCAGTTAATATTCCCTCTCCCAAGTAAGGAGAAAGTAGGTTCCAAGCAAAAACACCCCTCAGTCAAAGAATAGCAAATAACAACCTTTTGCATAGCTTGTGTTCAGAGTTACCCATGAGGAGTCTGAGATTGATTTGCCATTCACTGCTACCTCTCAGTGTACTGAATGAGAAGAGCACCAATGGGTAACATATCCAGTCAGATTGGCAGTGATCAGCCTGTCTGTGGAAAGGATGTGAACTGAATTAATAATACTTTGAACTAAAGCATAAAGAACTTTGGAGGGAAGATGTCTTCAAATGAAATCCCAAGTGTACACTTTCTCCACCTCTTACTTAACAGGCGGAGTGGTTGCAAAGGGCAACTTCAACAACTTTCCACAGCAGCCCAGTTACTGTCAGTGTTACTTGAAAAGGAGAGGGGATGTGAGTTCTACAGACAGCACTTATCCCCTGAGACATAGGCACGGCTTTCGTGTTCAATCACTGTATTTAATTCAATTATCTGCCCCCGCCACCCCCAACTGTCTGCCTTACAGGGGAGGTTGGGAGGAGAGTGATGCTTGATGCTTCTGCAAGTCCCAAAAGATATGCATTCTTTATTAGGGAATTCAATGAAGGATGAGCTCTTACTCACCCAGCTGCTTCCTCTGGGAAGTCGTCATGCGGCTCCAGCTGCCTGCAGCAGGAGGATGACATGGTCTGTGCAATGCATTGAATTTTATTTTATTTTTTTTTAGATTGAATTCAGGTAGTTGTTTGTTTTAAAGAGGGCTTATTTTAATTCATCTTTAAATATCATATTTTTGAAGGTGAAAACCATCACAAAGTCCTGTTCACCTCTAGAAATTTCAGGGTCCGGTTATCTAGACAGTTATAGTCAGGTCTAATGATTTTCCCTCTTTTCTTTCTTTGTTTTATCTATTCATTTGTTGGCTCGTTTCAAGGGATGATTAGGACTACTTCTATACAACAATTGAGGTAGAGAAGAAATAGATTACAGTTCAACTAACTATGTTAATTTTATTTTTAGCAATAATTCTAATAAAATAATGCAATTTTTAAAATTGTGACATTTTCATAGCAAAAAATTTTATAACATAAAATAAGTACTAAATATTATGAAAACTTATATTTTCTTAAACTAATAAATGCTCACTCTGTCAATAAAAATGAGTCATTCAGTGGTTAAAGTTCTCTTAAATAATCAAAACTTGTTGGTTGGTGAAGAAAATTATCTAATTTATCTCAAGAAATAGTTAATTCATAAAGTGAAAGAAAAGAATAGGCCATATCAGAGAACTTCAATTGAAGAAATCTAGGCTAATCTGATTTTTTCATTAATAAGTCACAAACCTTCTAATTGTTTCAGAAAACAAACATACTGCTATTTTTTTTTTTTTTTACTAAATACAACAATAATGCCAGGAAGGTATATTATAAGCCGGTATTTTCCAAATTTGAGCCTATACATTTTTCTTTAAGAAAAGAAATTCCCAGACCCAGTAATATACACTCTCTGGATTTTGAGAAATACTGGCTAAGACTTTCAAACATTCCTTGAAAATATCTTTTAGCTTCAGATAATCACAACAAAATATAAAATTTATCTTTATATGGTCAAAATTATTTTATATTCTGATTTTGGTAAAAGCTAAGAGGCAAAAAACCAAAACCTGTAGAACTTGTGGACCTATGAGTTTATACCCATAGACTCAGTTTGAAAAACACTACTTGATGGCTATTTAACCAACACTAGAACTTTTTGACAGTTCTTTTCTTTTTCATACATGTGTTAAATTGCCTCTCTCTGAGCCTTATATTTAATTCAGTTCCTGCATCCTCCTCTCAAGTTTTCTTCACCCTTGTAGAATCTGAACAATAATGAAAGGATTGATGACAATGAGTATCTTCTGAAACTCTTTACCTAAGGGATTGGCAGGCCTGTTTTCTTTTCCATTCTGATTGGAAAAAAAAAAATTGTCCTTTGAAAATTGGTCTCATTAGGAGCTTATTTAATCACAGATATGTCTCTATAGGTGTTGCCAACAATATATATTTATTGAGCATCAGTTAAATGTGAGATTGGTACAATTAATGTTCTACGCAATCAATAATATTTTTTGATTAGAAGTAGTATACATCTTTATGTATAACTCACTATAAGTTTACTGAAGAGGACATTTAAAACATGTAAATTTACATTTTTCTTGGCATGTTGAGTATGTTGATGGAAAGATTAGGATGATTCACATCAAAAGATAATTATCAATACAAGTAAATGAGTAATGAAAAATAAACAGTTATAGATGAATAATGGAGAGAAGAGTTTGGGGAAGTGAAATTTAAGCAGGATCTTGAAAGAAAAATAGAATTAGGATAGAAGAAATCGAGGCAAGAAGGCATTCCAGGCAGGAAACCCAAAGAGTTAGAGATGGGAAATTTTATTTGGAGGACAGAGGTTAGAACAGAAGGCTGAAACCAGATGCTTACATAAAGAGCTTTCTAAGATAGCTTCAAAGACACTGATTGCTAAGGACTTTGGACTCAGTTGCTGGAGGTGTTGAGCAGGGGACCAAAATGAAGAAAGCCATGCTTCTAGATGATTAAATTTACAGAGGGAGGATAGAGGGGCAGGATTTTAAAAAGTATGGAACTTGAAAACTTAATTCAGGGTATTGCTTATTTTTGTTGTCTACAGTGGTATACTCACAAGAGGGTATAGACAGAGTTGTTTTTCATTTCGAGCCATTTCCCCAGTGACAAGTAATGAGGGCAATGCAGCAGATGACAAATTGAGGATGGTTATGACACTAAGAGTTTCTCTTCTAAGGCCTGCTTCTCCCACAGGACTGCAGAGTTGAGCCAGGGAAGCTAAACACTGTATATCTTCTCTACCTTTGTTCATTGCCCTTCTTGCCTGCTCCTTATGTCTCCTGCTTAGGGCAGCATTTCTCAGACTCAGCAATAGTAACATTTGGGCCTGGATAATTCTTTGTTCTGGGAGGTGTACTGTGCATGGGAGTATGTTTAGAATCACCCCTGCCTCTACCTACTAGATGCCACTAGCATCCTCCTTACCTTCCCAAGTTGTAACAGCCAAACATGTTTTGAGATATTGCCAGATGTCCCCAAGAGCACCAAATCACCCTCTGTAGAGAACCACTAGGTTCTTATAGATTATCCTGTTGAATGTTAAGCATTTGTGATAGAAGAGGGATAATTTCCCTTCTTGATGGTAGGATCATGACTAGGCTTTCAGCTTTATGAGGACTGTAGGCATCGGAGAACCACAAATGTCAAACATGCAGTTTCAGATGCTTTCTCCAATGACACATCCAACTTTCACCCTCTTCTTCTCCATTATTGTATTGCCTGATAATAATGTCAACTCTCCAGTTAACTAATAATGGATCATCAGTATCTCCTGGTTTGCCTGGGAGAGTGCTGGTTTACATCTGTTTTCCCCATTTCTATCTTGTTAGTAACTCCTTTTACTCTATAAAGTGTCTGGGGTTGGAAGGTAAATTATATGATGATTCTAATATGGGAAATCACTAGAATCATGAGAAGGCAACAAGTGAATATTAGGAAAGTAAGAGGTGAAGGGGCAATTTGCCCTCTAGCTTCCCCGGGTAATTTTTCCTAGAGGAGACACCAGAGTTAAGACTTGAAAGCAACATTAGGAGTTAACCAGGAAAAGGGGCAAAGACATTTACAAGACAAAGGGAACATTGGATGCTTTGCAGGGTGAGACACAGAAGTGGACAAATTGAAGAGGCAGACCAACATGCTAATATAAAAATCCAAAAGTTGTTTTTGCAAACTTTACTTCAATTTTTAATCTACCTATCAAATTTTTATCCTATCTGGGAAAATGGGCAGTGACATTTTTAGGCTATAAATTCTAAATGTGAATAACATTTATCTTTTGTAAAAGAAATAGGATTGATTGCTATAAATTGTCCAAAAGAGAAGAGGGTCAGTTCCCTAGCTTTGGGTTTGTGTATGTGGTGATATTGAAATGCACCCGTCACCTTCTTTTCCTTTTATCTGAATGTTTGTAACTAAGACGTAACTAGAGAAGATCCAGCATACCATTACACATATAGATTTCAAAGACTTGGGAAGAAATCTTATTTCAGCATCTGTAGCTGGTTTTATTAAAAGCAGTTTAAATTCCTCTGCCTAGAGCAGTCTGGAATTATAGAGATGGGCTGCAGAAATTTACATTTTAATTGAGGCAGAAGACAAAATAGGGCACGGTGCAGCATTCACACATTACAAGGAAGAATAAATAAGATATGTATCAGCTGGGAGAAAAAAATGACTGGTCGTTTTTCATTGCCTCCTGCACTTATTTTTTTCATATGGCACTGAGCTGAGTTAGGCCTGCTAAGCAAAGACGATTTTTCCAGTCAAAATGTTTACTATTTCAGAAAGTCCTTGTGTTGAAATATTTTCACACTATGGAACAAATACACAAATACTCAAATGGGCCTGCATTTGGTTGTCAAAGTGTGTATGGCACTGTTTATAATGTCTCAAATGTCTATAAATATAAATAACATGTCCCAATGAGCTATATAGAAAATGATTTAAAGTATGAGGTATAACAGAATGATTGATAGACATAATCTATCTGTTAAACACTGTAATTTGAGCTATTTTATAGTTTCATAGAAATAGAATAAAATTTTATAGAAATAGAATTTTTCTCTATAGATAAATTTCATCCTTTGATTAGTGTGGAAGTCCCTCCAAAGAGTGGGAGGACTTAGGTTTTCAAACTTGAGGATTTACCTGTGTTTGGTAATCACTTTGAGAAACCACTCATTGGATTTTTCTTTTCTATTTTTTGTTATATGTTTGATCATTAATAGAAAATTAAGTTGAAAATTCATTTCCTCATAAGGGAAAAATAATAAACATAAAAAGTGTATCATGATAATGGCTTTTAAAAGTAAGTCTTTGTATTAGTGTAAATATGTTTTGTAGAAATCCACTGTAATTAAGTGTGTTTATCCATTTATTTAAGCCTTCAACTTTTATTATATCTTCTTTCAGCTGTACGTGTATTTTTACATTCATACATGCTCTTTGCCAATCATAATTATTTTGTTAGATTAATTATAGAATTTAAAACCAATAAACAACACATTACTATAGTATGATTATCCAATTATGATTCCCTCCAGAGCTAAGTACTATAATTGGACCCATAGTAAGAAAATGTAATTCTTTTTCCCCAAGTATGTGCCTCTCAAGCATGACGGTCAAATAGATTATCTACTTTTAGCCACCAAAACATATCTTAATTTTCTTTATTATTTGACTATGACTTTCCATTTTGCTTTTTCTAGAATTTTAAAATGACATTTTATTGTCTTTAAAAAATAATAACATGCCTTTACCTTATCACTAAGATTACATATTTCTTAATCACTTAATCACCACTTAATGTCCTATTATTAAAGTGAAAATACATTTTTCTTAAATATCATTTTTTCCCTTGGAGCTCTCTGGTTCTAATTCGTGTTGTTGATTGTTCGGCTCTACCACGTAACTGTCATTTCAGGATATTTTTCCTTTTTACTCCTAGTCCATTCTTGTTAGGCTATGCTTACTGTTTTTCTCTCTGTCTGCTTCCTCCATGCTTGGGTTTCCTTTTTGGTTTTTGTCTTTCATTTTTGATATTCATAAGCAATGTTTCAGAAAGGTATTTGAAAAAATGTTTGAGTCCTTGTAAATATCAAGCATCATTATTTTCATCATACTTACTTAATAGTACAGCTGAAAGTTCAAAATAATTTTCCCTCAGAACTCTGAAGACATTGCTTTATTGTCCTATAGCATTCAATACTGCTGATGAGAAAGATAGTGGCAATTTAATTCTCCTTCCTTTGTAGATAGGCAATGTTTCATTTTGGAAGCTTTTACGATATTCTAGGAATCTTTGGAGACCTGATATTATCGGTAGGTATGGGTCTTGCTGGCCACTTAACCGCATAACAACCACTGTATTCTAATGAGTGCCGTCAATTTTTCAGTCACAGGGTATCTTTTAACTCATTTTTTTCTTTTACTTTTTTCAGCCATCTTATTTACTATGTCTTTTTTTTTCCCTTAAAACCATTATTAGATAGATGTTGGCATCCTGGATTAATTCTCTATGTCTGTTAATCTTTTCTTATTGTTTCTATTTATTTATCTTTTGGCTCAATGCAAAATGAGATTCTTCAACTATTTAAGCTTTTCTACTAGTTTCTTACTGATTTTTAAGCTTCAAGAACCCTTTCTTCTTGGACTTCTCCCTAAAACTCTGTTCTGGTTTTATAGTTACAGCAGTTTCTTAAATCATCAATGGGACTATTATAAGCTTCTTTCCTGTTCCTTGCATTATCTTAATGCCTTTTAGGGTTGGCTGTTCTCTTGGGTTACCTTAGTTCCTTTGGCCTTTGTTATTTTCTCAAGGTTTTTAGTAATCATTGATAGTTCATTCATATGTATGAAATAGGATGTTAAGTAATGTCTCTGTCACCATGGAAAATTTTATCCCCAAATTTCTCTCTGCTCCAAAGTGGGGCTGACCAACTAGGTTGGTGACCTGGCTGCTTTCACTATGGAGTTCTAGGAGGACTAGCAGTATGTTGGAAGCTTACAGAATGAGAATGACTTAAGTCTCATTCCTACCTGCGAAAATCATTAAGTTTCTTTAGAGAGTAGTATCATAATTTTAGGAATTAGGAGAAATCTTATTGGTAATGATGCTTCAGCAGGGACCAGACAGTAGTGGGCAGCGAATGGCCCAGATATTTCTTAGACAGACTTTCCTATTTTCCTGCCTCACTTTCTATATTTACTTTAAATCTCTGAGTCTTAGTCATAAAGAGTAGCTCCCACCTCCTAAGAGGCTTTGTCCTCTGAAAGTTTTAAGTCTTAGTTTCGCCTGCTTTGTTTAAAACAGAAATATGTTCCTCTTCTTCTTCTCTCTTCCATATATCTATCCAAAAAGCTGCTCCATTGAGGCCTAGTTATCTTCTCAACCCAGTCTTTTTTCAGAACTGTTATAAGTTTATTGGTTTTTATTTTTCTCTTCTAATTTCAGTAGGATTTTTAGAAGAAGGCAAAAAAAAATCCTGTCTGATATTTTGTAGCAGAAGCTATATATATACACACACACATATATATACACACACACGTGTAGTATATATATACACATACATATGCATATATATACACACACGTGTAGTATATATATACACACACACACATATACATACACACACACACACACACACACAAACAGACATATATATGCGCAGTGGTGTGATCTCAGCTCACTGCAACCTCCGCCTCCCAGGCTCAAGTGATTTTCCTGCCTCAGCCTCCCAAGTAGCTGGGATTACAGGCGCACACCACTAACACCTGGCTATTTTTTGTATCTTCAGTAGAGAAGGCTTCACCATGTTGGCCAGGCTGGCCTTGAACTCCTGACCTCAAATGATCCACTGGCCTCGGCCTCCCAAAATGCTGGGATTACAGGCGTGAGACTCCGCGCCTGGCCCAGAAGCAATAATTTTAAGATTAAAAACAAAACCCAAATATGGTTTCCTCCCCCTTTCTATCTATACTCACACTCTGGGTAAGAAGTAGCAAAAGCAATCAGGTTTTCACCAGACAAGGAGCTCTGTGATTCTCAGCTCTGTCCCAACAGCCCATGCACAATGGCTACCAAAAACAAAAACAAACAAACAAACAAAAAACCCCAACAACAAAACACAGATAAGACAAAATGCCAAAATGCAAAGCACTGCAGATTTCCAAGAAACTCTTTGGTTTGCAGGCCTAGTATGAGCAAATTTTTTTTACAACGTAAGACCATCCCCTTGTGACTTCATCATTTGTTGACCACACAACTGCTGCCAAACCCTAACTCAAATATTCTCCAAGGTAAAACTTGGAAAAATACTTGGGTTTTGGTCCATGATTAATCTTCATCTATTTCTATATAGGTTATCTCATTATATCACCATTAATATAAAGCAGGTGGGTTACATATCTGAGGAAATGGGCAGGGGGACCCAAATGGTTGAGTTGCAACAGAGCCCACCACTGTAGTTATTCACTTCATCTGTGTATGTAGCTTACCACATTCCTGGGACCACAAGCATGGAAACTTAGAGCAATGGTCATTGACTTTTTTCTCCTCTATTATTCTCAGTGTTGCTCCTGAATTCTCTGGCTTACCACACTGTGTTTCAACTCACATAACACAAAAATTATTTCCAAACTGTCTGCACAAATGTATTTCATATACTTATTCCTTAACCTAATGCATTTCATTCTACTGAAATAATAGTTTTCCCTTCTTATCAATATTGCCCAGCAAGAAACTCAAGCTATTTAAACAGCAAAGCTGCCAATATTTACAACCTTTTAAGTCAGTAAAGGAATTTAGGTAATTTGTATTTTAGTGTTTACTGGTTGGTTAATGAATATTGTGCTTGGGGTTTTATTTATTTATACAGCACCTCATTCCAAAAATAAATAATCTGAAATGTCTTGGATATTACAGAATATAGTATGCAAGGAATTAGAATCTGAATATTGTGTGTTTAGCACATTTTTAGCAAATTAGCTTGCCAGGTTGGAAAACATCAGAGGTTTATCTGATGTAAGCATATTTTAAATTTCTGGGTGTTTCTGTAAAAAAAAAAAATCAGTCTTTCCTCTTACTTTATACAATTATTAAACAGAGATAAAACAAAGTCCATGTACTGCAGACCTTTCTATTTTATACTGAAACATCCAAATGATTGACAGGTTTTAAAATTCTATTTATAAAAGGATTGCTCCTCTGTAGACATAAGAAAAATCATTTCAAAGAGAGATGCTCTATAAGAGAAATTCTTAACATATTTAAAAAATGAGAGACTCCTCTATTGTGTACCTTAATCTGGCTCTTATTCAGTTTTCTATTGTTATACATTCTGTTATAAAATCTATAATAAATTAAGACTCCATTGTTTTAAAAAAACATGGTAATATAAGCATTGTAGATAAGGCATTTTGCTCTCAAATATTTGTTTCTATTAGTTTATTTTACTTCTGTTTATGTGTTGTGCATATAAAACTTTAATCTTTCTATTAAGAAGGAAAAAGATGTGACTTATGTATGATGAAATTTGCTGTAACCTTTATATATGTTCTTGAAGGAGCCTTGGTTGAAAAAAATCACACACATGTAATTTTTTGTGGGCTATGCACCATCCTTATACATACTAAATATTGCATTGCAATATTTACTATTAGCTATGAATTGACTTGTAAATGGCAAAACACTCCAGGTTTTTTACATGGTATTATTTTGAAAAATCCAAGCGATATCCCTTTATCATTACTACAATGTTCTAACTTTGACAACCTAGAAAATAGATTTTTTTTTCAAAAGATACATAACAGAGAACATCCCTTCTATTTGAAATCTCTTTAAATGTTGTGGTTTTAAATTCTTATAAATATTTTTCTTTAATTACAGTGAGTGGAGGGATAGAGAGAATAGTTTAATTCATACAATATCCACCTCCCAAAATAATAATACTTCAGATTATAGTTTTTTAATCTTCAGAATTTTGACCACAATTTTATTTATTAAAAAATATATTTTATAAGATTGTTTCCTTGGCTGGGTGTGGTGGCTCACACCTGTAATCCCAGCACTTTGGGAGGCCCAGGCGGGTGGTTCACTTGAGGTCAGGAGTTCAAGACCAGTCTGGTCAACATGGTGAAACCCTGTCTCTACTAAAAATATAAAAATTAGCCGGGCATGGTAGCAGGTGCCTTTAATCCTAGCTACTCAGGAGATGGAGGCAGGAGAATCACTTGAACCTGGGAGGTGGTCGTTGCAGTGAACCGAGATCACACCATGGCACTACAGCCTGGGCGACAAGAGGGAGACTCCGTCTCAAAGAAAAAAAATTGTTTCCTTGCTGTGATTTTGGTGAAGTTAGTCACTGAACATTGGAAATAAATTGCACCTTGCCTCATTTTCTTTTCTTGAAAATAGAATAAATATAGATAAGATATGAATCTAGAGAACACACACATGTACTCACACAACAACACACCATTTCTCCCTTCCCTGGCAAGTCAGGTTTCTTTTACAGGAATGGTAAAAGTTATAATGACATAATGGGAATTCTCCATCAGTTAATAAATTAGATGATGAAACTAATTCTGACTGCTACTAGGACTGGAGTAGCAGAAAGCAATTTCAATCTATCAAAGCCATGTAGGGACCAGAGATGGGGGCTATGGCTACAGCTCCAGTACCCACATGTCCACTCACTGCACAGGTAGAGACAGAGGTCTGCAGCCACTTGTCTATATCAGGCAGCATCTGAGATGTAAAAAGATACTGCCTCGATTTTGGTTAATACCACTTTGGAATATGAAATAATTACTGGATCTCCAGCACATGTCTTCTGGGTAAGAAGGAAAGACACTATATTCTCTCATTTTACAGTGACAAAATTAAAGCTGAGATGTTACCTTATTCTTTCAAGCAACCATAGTAAGTTGGTGGTATACGCCAGAGTAGAACCCAGAGATGCTAATTCCTAAGCAGTGATCTTTTCTCAATACTAGATTATTCTCTTGTATCCTAGATAAGATAGTTAACATTTAAAAAATAAGCAAAGCGGGCAGGCGCAGTGGCTCACGCCTGTAATCCCAGCACTTTGGGAGGCAGAGGCAGGCAGATCACCTGAGGTCAGGAGTTTGAGATCAGCCTGACCAACATGCAGAAACCCCGTCTCTACTAAAAATACAAAGTCAGCCAGTTGTGGTGGTCCATGCCTGTAATCCCAGCTACTTGGGAGGCTGAGGCAGGAGAATTGCTTGTACCTGGGAACCGGGGGTTATGGTGAACCGAGATTGCAACATTGCACTCCACCCTGGGCAACAAGAGCAAAACTCCATCCCAAAAAAAAAAAAAAAAAAAAAAAAAAGCAAAGCTCCTTTTTTGCCACAATTACAAAAATGATCAAAGAGATTGTATAAATAAATTATCAGTTTTTTCTTGCACACAATTCTCTTACCCACATGCAATACCTAGTTTCTATCCAATCCCCCTAAGCATGTATTGATATTTTGAAGATCACAACTGGAAGAATAGCTTATTTGTGTTAAATTGTGTAAAAGAAACAATTTTTATAGAAATACACATAGAATAAAGATGAAACAGACCACAGTGTGCCAGATTCATAGCAAAATATTATTTTAAGCCAATAGAAGAAATAATAGTAGGTTTAACGAACATCTTTACATATTTCAGTGTGCCATGCATGAGCCAATCAATTAATTTAATCCTTATGAAAACTCTTGATAAGTATTAATTTTCCTAGTTTATTGACGAGGGCATTGAGCCAAGACAGGTTACATAAATCGCCTAAGTTCATACAGCTAGTAAGCGGAGGAGACACAATTCAAGCCCAAGGATTTACATTAGTGCAGATAAAATTTGTCAAAGCTTACCTACATATGGCTCGATTGTGGACCCATCTCATTCATAACACCTTATCGATGTATCAGATCCACACTATTCTGTTGTTTCTGTTGCAATTGTAGAACCTGTGGCATATAGCAGCACAGTTTAAACTCACAATCATGCAATTGGTCTACCTAGTCTAATTTTTTTAAATTTATCTTTTTTTGTTTTAAGTAAGTGTCATCTATTTAGCAGTCTGCAAACTTTTTAGAAGTATAGATCTTATTTTTCTTTGATACAGCATAAAATCCAAGTTATGTTGGACAGAGAATAGATATTACCACACACTTATTGGCAGATTGAAGGGCGTATTAGGAGAGTAAATAAAGTGTGAGTAATAGCAGATTTGGTTGAATAAGGCTGTACATTCTGGCTTTCTCTCTAAGTGGTTTATTCTGCCAACCCCAATGTCTCAGCTCTTAGGCTGAACTTCTGCCCTTTCCTCTGTGAATCCCTCTTCAGTTTCTCTCTCTACATGATTTCACCCATTCCCTCTTTGTGAAAACTTCTAAAACTTGTCATCCCATCTTATTCCCTCATTTACCCTCTCGATTGGTACTGCAGGATGCTTCCTGCTTAAACTGATCATATCTAAAGTGCACTAGTTATTTTATCTTTATGGTAACATTCCTGCTTCTAATCTACAATGCTATTCAGTCTAACATCACCATTTGTGAGAATCCTGGATGAGTGGTCATTTGGATGAATTCAGCAGATCTTTATGAACATTTATGGTATGCCAGGAACTGTAGTAAGTGTTCAGTACAAAAGGGACAATATGTTACCATTTCTTCTATAGCTAGCAGCTAAACAAATCACTTATTATAACGCAAGGTGGGATATTTTACCATAGAAGTCTGCAAGGGATGCTGTGAAAATTAGCATTTGCACTTGCGCAGCTCTCACAATTTAAGCAATTTTGAATGCAAGTTTAATACAACCTCATGAGGTGTTATTATTATAGTCTACAGGTTCTGGAAACCAACTGACTTGCCTAAGTGCTCCCCGCCTTGTCCGCCCTTTATGCGAATGGTGGAAGCATGACGCTTAGTCATTCTCTGTTTCCTTCCCCATGGGAGAAGAAGAAAGCGGTTTTGCAGATGTCCTTGAATCCCACCACCCTAGTCAGTATAGGGCTGAATGCACAGGAGCTCCCCCAAGTGTTTGCTATTTGATAAGCAGAATTAAATGCAATGTGTTGTGAAGACAGATTGCAGCTCACTGTGAGAATTTTCAGCTAGCCTGTTTAGAATAGGGTGGATTTGTCTCATCCTCTAGAAGTGCTCAAGCAGTTTCTGTAGAAACCGTTTTGGGGAGATGAACAGGTTTTATGCATATGATGGGATATTTGTATAAGTGACCTCTGAGTCTCCTTCCAACTACACGTTTCTCTGGTTAATTTCTTTATCCAGTTCTTCTACGGCTATAGACTGAGAGCTTATCTTTCCTTAAAAGATGCCAGATACCACCTCCTTAAGCCACTGATTCTTAATAGATAAAGAGTTGCTATTTATGACAGTTGTGCAAACTCATAATCAATCAGTACAACACAAGGTATGTGATTTTATTGAACCCTCCCCCTGATGACTTAAGACATCTGTGGCTCATGCCTCTAATCCCAGCACTTAAGGAGGCCAAGGTGGGTGGATTGCTTCAGGGCAGGAGTTTGAGACCACCCTGGCCAACATGGCGAAATCACATCTCTACCAAAATTACAAAATTAGCTGGGTGTGGTGGTACATGCCTATCGTAATCCCAGCTACATCGGGAGGCTGAGGCAGGAGAATTGCTTGAACCCAGGAGGCAGAGCTTGCAGTGAGCCAAGATCACACCACTGCACTACAGCCTGGGTGACACAGTGAGACTCTGTCTCAAATTTAAAAAAAAAAAAAAAAACACATGTGAAATGAGTTTATTACAATCTTCAGCATGGTGCAATATCTAGTTAGAGGACTGAGTCCAGTAATCAGTCTTTTTTTTCTAAATGATTGTTCTAGTTGCCATAAAGGTAAGTTAAATAAAGTTAGAAAATATCTCTGACAAGAAAAGGATAATTATTTTGTAACATCTATTGAGACCCACAAAACTTGTTGAAAAGTGGCTGCAAGGCATGATGAGTTAGTCAAAGGCAGAGGGATAAGAAAAGTTCTTAACTGGTTATAGCCAGTTTTATTTTGTGTAGAGATTTTTACGTAGGATGTAACTCCAACTTACTAGAACATTTGGCAAAGGTACAATAATGTGCTTGGCGGTGGAAGAAAGTATAGGAGGAGCACATTATAACTCTAGAATATTCTAACTCCTGTATAAAACACAATGAAAATATTCCCTCTCACAACACCACACTGGTCACCTCTAATATTAATGGAATGTCTGTTACCATGAACATTTAAATGAGAAACTCGGGTTCTATTATTGCCTCATGTGGTTGTGAGTATTGGCTAAGGAGACTGTATTGTCAAAGGAAATTTGGGATAGAAAAGGGTGTAGAGTTATGATCTTGCATGGTTCAAGTTCAGACTTGGACAGAGACAAAAAGATGAATTAGGTGAGTTTTTTGAATTCCCAGGAAGTAATATGGATTGGGGACACATAGTTCTGTTTTCCTGGGTGCATATTTCTGCTGTTTCAGTGATAAAATTATAGCTTCTACTTTGCGGGAATAAGTAACTAATAGTTCTCATTTTTATAAGTTCTGAGAATTTTCTATGATTTTTTTTTTCATGTTACATATCTGAGGGACATACTCTCCACTCTCTCTCTCTCTCTGTAATGTGGATTAAGATAAGTAAGGAGTTTTCTTAGAATTAGGGCAAGTTTTTAAGCACCATAGCTTATTTTGCCTTGAATGATCAGGCATTGCACCATGAGACCTTCTTATAGGTATAGCTAAGTTGAGAGTTGCCCACACTGACAAAACTATCCAGCTCAGTTATGTTAACAAAAAAAGGAATCTCAACTTAGGTAAGAGTAGCCACTATGTCTCAGGAATAGTCCTATTGCTTAACTCTCTTACAAAATGCTAAAATTAACATTGCCCATAAGATTTTCTATAAAAAGCAGCCATCTAGATCCTTTGAGTTTCATTGTTTTTCTCCTTACCAGTTGAATTTATTGACAGAATACTCTTTTTAAAGACCATCCTTGAGAGTGAATTAAGTAACAGATTCTTGGCAAATCTTTCTCAAAATTTCCACCAATTTAGGAATGTGAGGAAAGTTGGGGGTTGGGGGAGGCAGGGGGTAAAGTGGCAATTTGTATTCCAATTACTTGATTTCCTGAGAATAGAAAGTTGCCTTAAATTAAACAAGGAAGAGAAAAACCCATGCATCAAATAAATTGAGGAATTCATTTCATACCAGGCTTATATTTTATGCTCAGTTTCTGGTGGGATATGAACGTACGATTCTCATACTTCAGTGAGTCAGTGTGTTATGTAAACATGGCCTTAGTGGCAATTACTATTATAAAATTGGTGATAGATGTAGCTTTTGCTTTACTGACTGCAAATTAAATTTAGTTGGAAAGATAATTCTAGTTAAATGTTTTAATTAGCAACCTTTTTTGACTATTCTATTTAATAACAAAGATACTTCTGGTAGCCCAGTATGCCAAATTTATTTTATGAACTCTTATAATGGATCAAATTTCACATTGCAAAGAGATCTGACAAGCCTGATTGTCCCATGATGTTTTAATGTTTTTGGACATTCATAGGCAATTAAGTTTCTTCTTGGAGAATGGGCATACGTATGGTTAAAGACATCTTGAGATTGATTTTTTTCTCTAAATTTGTCATTTATTCAGTAATAGTCATGCCAATAACAAATAATATTCTCATAACAAATACTAACTTCTCTAACAAACATAATCCTCAATTGTATTTTAAAGAAACTAACAGCATTTTAAGATATTAAACTCCTCTATGCAAAGAGATGTTAAAGCAGTGCCTAAATTAACATGAATTTAATAGGTTATTAAACCCAGCAAACTGGTGTTAAAGTGGTGCCTAAATTAACATGAATTTAATAGGTTATCTTTCAAAAGATTTAAGAAAACAAATGCCTCTGTTTTCAGCTATTTATTGCTTTGTCAACATCTAATATGGACCTAGAACTACATAAGTGACTCTACAGCCGAAAATTCCTTAGTGTTTTGTGGCACGTGTCAGGCTTCTTCTTATCCAAAGGTTAAGTCAGCAGATTTAAAGTCAGCAGCAAGAAGCAAACTCGGATCTGACTTTTATGCCAAATCAGCTACTTACTAGCAGCCCCATAATCTTGAGAAGTAACTTCATTTTGAGGCAGTTCGGTTTTCTCTTTTCTAAAGTTTTGAAAGTAATATTTACTATTGCTTGATTGCAGAGAAGAAAGTTTTTTGTTTTTTTTTTTCTAGGCCTCAAACACAGCGATTGTGTTTGGTTAATATTTCTTCCATTTTCTGGCTCTTCCCCTTCCATTCCCTCTCCTTACTACCTTGTGAAGGTCAGAAGAAGACCTAGGTGAACAGAGCATACTTTCTAACATCTCAAGGCTGTAGCCCTAGAATGGTGTCTCCAGCCTCCTTAAGTTCTCAGTTGGAAAAGCTTAAATCTGCCAAAGATATTTACTATCGTAAATTCCAGCTAACATCTGAACATAAGGCACCTTTCTTTCAGTCTCTGTGGGAGGAGAGGAGCCTAACTTCAGTAAGTATCAGTTAGCAAACCCAAATGGCCTAGTCACCTGGACTGAACCCCCTTTTTGCCCTTGAGTGCCTTTTCCCTAGCACTCCCCAGCTTTTTGTTTCTGTCTCCTGCTTTTTTTTTTTCCCAGTGAAGTTGCATTCAGTTCAAGTGGACTCTTTCCTCTATTTTTCAATAGTTATTGCTGAGTAAAGACTGTTCATACCACTTTAGTGTCCAGCTTTGTTTACCTTTGACACCATTCAGAAGCGTTTCCATATTTGTCATCATGTTAAATGGGAGCTTGGCTGTGGCAGGGAGATGGACAAGAAGACTACGTCATTAGGAGAGCATGTTTAGTACTGCATAGCGATGTGTAATAGCGTAAAATTATGAAGTGCATACAGTGCATACACCATACAGTGCCACTCAACCTTTAGTATTTTAAATCTTCACTTTAAGAAGTTTTATTTTATATAATTATATATTTTTCTCTAATTATATTCTAATTATATTGTTGTTTAAAAGAATGATTCTAACAATTCTCACCATAATTGCATGTCTGAGGAAAAGCTACATTAATCTTTTGAGGCCTTCTATTTTGGTTTAGGGGAATTATGATTGCTTTCAAAGTAGGATAACAATCTTTTAGGGGACTGATTTTTGGATATATTTATCAACACAGCCTAACTTCACATTCATTAAATATTTTTGAGAGATTGTATGCAAGCAGTATTCTTCACTGATAATTTATTTCAAATTCCAGAAATTTTTCACCCTAAATCTACCATTGTTTTTCTCAGTACTTTTATGTTGTTTTGTGTTGCAGTCACTGATAATTGCTATCAGAACCATGTATAAATTGATCAAATATTGTATGAGTAAAATATTTAAAAAGTAAAACAAAATGTTTCTAATAATCATGCTTTGAAAAAATAAGTTCACCCCACCTTGCCACACACTCTACTTGATTTATTTCTCTTCTCAAACACATCACCTTTTTCTTTTTTTTTTTTTTTTTTTGCCTCTCTCTGAAGTTAGAAACACACACACATCTCCCTCTCGCCCTCTTTCTCTATCTCTTTCCCTACCCTGCTGAAATCTAATTTGACTAATGATGTCCTAAGCTGTGAACATTTTGTTAGATAGCTATTTTGATAAAGACACACAGCAATCAAGTATTAACTGGTCCGTCAATTTATCTCTTGATACAAGTCTCAGACTCCAGAAAAGGAGCTAATGCTCATCCTTACACGTTTGTATCCCTTCTGCCTAGAATATTGCCTAATTAGAAAACAAACAAAAACAAAAGCCAAACCATTAAGACATTATTTGTTTTGCTGAACAAAACAAATATACAATGTATCCACTGAGTTAAACAGGGAAGGTACAGGCCACATCTGCATCTGGAGAAGGAAATTGAGGAATCTCAGTCCTGGTGACCCACCTTGATCTTCACCTAGGAGCTGTCTCTGACAGATATCTACAAGCCTCCATCCCTTCATATTCTACTTAGAATTTTGTTCTTTAACACAGATGTAGATAGATTTTTGGACTTCTAAATATGTGAATAGCACAAATCTGGGTAAAAGAGTTTGTCCAAGGAAGACTTATTCAACATTTTCAAAGATCGTAGAAGGCTAAAATATGGTTTGAAATTACCTAGATGAAGTGTAATAGACACATAAAAACCTAAGTCTCCATTCAGGATTCACATATGCCAAAATATGATAGGACAGACTTGACTTATTAGCAGTTAGTGTGAGAACTTGAAGAATTCTTTTAATTAAATGTAAATTTTAGATGAGCCATTTTCTGCCACGATTGTGGATTTGAATCTAAGATGTGCATTGTGCAGTATGGTACTCCAGGTAAGAAAGAGTCTCATATTGTTTGTTCTACAGGTAAAAACAAAACGTGAACATAGAAGTGCCTTGAAAACTAATTTTACAAAGGTCAGAACAATGGCATTTATACCAAGTGCCTCATAGCTAGATTTTGTGTCCAAACGAGTATTCGCAGTTTTTTGTTTTCAATAGGTTCATTTGCTCCTGTGTGTCTTTATGATATTCTTTCTAGAACGCTTTCTCCCCCTTGTCACCTGGCAAATTTCAACATCAAGACCCAGCTCAGACATCACCTCCTCAGAGCAACTCTCTGTAACCTCAGAGCCACTCAGCCATAACCTCATCTCTCAGGTTCAACCCTTCTGTGCTGGAAACTATATATTTATTATTCTATTTATCACCATATAGGCCTGTCTATTCCATCAGACCTGTGCTGTCCAATGCAGTAGCCGTTATCTGCACATGGCAATTAAAATTAAAATTAAAATTAAATTAAAAGTTGAGTTTTTCATTTAGCTTGCCACATTTCATATGCTCAGTGGCCATATGTGGCTAGTGGCTATCATAATGGGCAGTGCGGGAATAGAATATTTCCATCACTGTGGAAAGTTCTATTAGCAGGAATTGTGCTATAGTGAGATCCATACAGAAGACTTTCTCTCCCTGATCTCTCCATCCTCATCATCTGGGGTTGTTCCTAGCATATGGAAGACAGTAACTAAGTACTGAACACAACTGAACTAAGAAATAGTGGGCAAGCTTATATGGAAACAGCATCACACTCAGAATGCATCGCTCTAGACACGAGCATAAAATTTCTGATTCACGAAGGTAGATTTCTCTTAATAGACTTACTGGGAAATAAAACAGGCTTCTTTTTAGATATTGAGCTCAGGCCCCAAAATCTTTCCATTAAAGCCAAGTAATCACCTGCCAGGACTCCAGTATAATGGATCCCTTCATGGGGTTGGAAATTGCAACTAGAAGAGAATAATTGAGATTCAGTCATTCTCGTGACCAATGTTTGAGCAACTTTTATGAAACTCTAGAGAAAATTTTGACTACTTGTCACGTCAGCCCCTGACTGTCAACAATGATCCTTGCTTTGCTGAGAATATCTCGAATGTGTACATTGTTTTTCCCTAGGATCACTTTTACTGAAACTAATGTAGCTCTAAAATTTTATATTAGTTTTTAGGTTTGTGTGTGTGTGTGTGTTTGTTTTACAAGAAAACCTGTCTGGAGTACAAAACTGAATTAGCAATTAAATCGTTGTCAGGAAGCAAGTACTAGCCTTAATAAACAAAGTATAATTGAGAAAACAATGTCATATCAGATTTTGGCGTCATTGACTAAAAGGGAGTGTGGACAAATCACACTAATTTTTCAGACATCTGTGTTTCCAATAACTGAACTCAGCTGTATTTGGGGCTATGGACACAGTGAGTATTCAACAGCTATTGAATGCAAAGGGACTGAATGTAAATAGGTCTGCTTTTTAAACCACTTCTGCTTTGTGCAGTGAAAGCCCTAAAGAGCTGTTGGACCAATTAAATAATTTGTTTTTTCTTCTGGGGCAACAACATTTTTTTTTTGTATTTTTATCTTTGTGTCCAAAGACAGCATGCTTCTAACTGTAAAACAGCACAAGCTCTACAGACATTAAAAAGTAGCTCAGAAATGGGTGTTTTTGTAGACACAGAGCTGTTTTTGTCACTGAAGACATCAGGCAAAAATGCTCTTTTTTATACATGAAGTTAAATAACCCTTGGGATAGAATATTTTACTTCATTTGTGGAGGGATTTGTGCACCCTTTCCTGTTTAGAAGGGGGCTTCTGTGCGGATGGAGCATGGCCAGAGGAGGCTCAGAGCAAAGCCTGAGAAAGGGCTTCAGTGACTAAGAAAGTGAATTTGGGCTTTAATAAAAACACTGGCCTTATATCTGACAAAATCTGTTGCTACACTAGATGATGTGGGCAGTTGTTTTTCTATAAGTGAGAGAGCTTCTAGCTCTGCTAAATAGGAAAATAAGTATCTTCCCTTTCAAAACCGTAAGAGAAATGATATTGACCAAACAATTCTATTTAGGAGAGAGACTTCATACACTGGACCAATTATTATCATCCATAATTTATGAAATTATTGGCTTAACACCTGTTATTTTTTGAGCTGTGTTATCTGAAAAGATATGTTGAAGTCCTGACCCCTAGTGGTTCTGTGACCTTAGTTGAAAATAGGGTTCTTACAGATTTTATTAGTTAAGATAAGGTAATACTGGAGTAGGATAGGCCTTTAATACTGGTGTCTTTATAAGGGAATACATAGCCATGCAGGGAGAAGGCCATGTGATGAAAGAAGCAGAGACTGAAGTGATACAACTATAGGCCAAGGAACGCCAAACATCAACCACCACCAATTAAGAGCTAGGAAGAGGCAAGGGAGGATTCTACCCAGGGTCTCAGAGCAAGTATAGCCCTGCTGACATCTTGTTTTCAGACTTCTGGTCTCTAGAACCGAGACAAGAAGTCTACTATTTTAAGCCACCCAGTTTGTGGTACTTTGCAATGGCAGTCCTTGGAAACTAATAGAATACCTGAAAGGCTTAATCAGTTCAGGTTCTTATTTCTAGGTAAGATATTTGATAAATGAAATGAATTGAAATTGATTTTGTAGGATCATATAGTAAGCGGTGCCCCTTGATGATGCTTCTTCAGCCCCCTTCACATTATCCTTTATTGACTACGTCAGCCTTCCCTCATTACTTGCCTTGAAATGGCGGGGGTTGTAAGGAGGGATTGGGAAACAACTCCCTGCAATTATACGTAAAACTTGGTGTCTGCATATGTACAATTTTCTGAGGCCAAAGTTCTATAGGTTTTTTCGGTCTCTCCAAAGAGAGTCTAAGACCTAGGAATGATCCTGTTTTTAATGCTGAGGGGTCACCATGTTTAGGATATCAGCTTACATTCTTTTTTTTTTTTTTTTTTTTTTTTTAACATCCAGAATCCAACAGGCCAACAAGTCAGGGACAGGAACTCAGTCAGAGCCAGTCAGAGCCAGTAATGTGTCACAGCCAGACAAAAGTCAGGGACAGGAACTCAGTCAGAGCCAGTAATATGTCACAGCCAGATAATAACAGCTCATGAAAACCCATTGATAAATGATGATGATTTTTCAAGGTGGTAGTTAAGCACAACCGGTATTAAAATTAAATTATATAAACTTATACTTGAATGCATTATATTAAAAACAAGGTAAGAAATGCTTATTACTCATCACTTCCTAATTACTTTTAGTACTTTTCTCTTACCTACATTCTGAGGGTTTTTTTCCCATCGACTGCATCTGTGTGATAGGCGTGAGGATGTGTTACTGTGCATCTCTTCCCAACTTTATGTTCAGTGACATCAAGTTGGTCGGTAGCTTGAAATCAATTGTGGGAAATCAGATCACAAAGGCAATTTGCAAAACGACTCCCGCCAACCCCTAAGCAAGATAGTTGGTAGTATTTCCAGGCTACCACTGATTCAGACTTGACTGATTAATCACGCTTTTATCCCTGGGGTTTCTATTATTTTGGACATTACATAAGAATATTGGACTAGACTCAAAAGATGGCCATTGAATAATGTTCAATAGCGCCTTCTCTTATAGGAGAGTTCATAAGTTTGTCTAAAAGTGCTTTATGTCTAGATGTGAACTTTAAGAATATAAAGGAGTTGTCAGTCCTCCAATTACAAAATGTTCAGGGAATAAGGTGCCATCACCTTTCTTATAACTTAGCATTACCGATTATTATTTTAAAATGAATCTAAATAAAAACGTTCATAACCTCATCAAGACCTTTTCTCTTCTGTATCCCAGATTTTCCATGATTGAGTAGCAATTTATGAGAACAGTAAGTCACTTTTGCATTTGAAAATAAAACGTTTTCTCTTGGATAACTTTCTGAAAAGTTTCAGTATTATCTATAAGCTACAAGAGACTGTTTCCTGTTTGATTACCTTAAACTGATAAATTTCTCTGGGTTATTTGAAATAAATCATACACGTGTTTTTGTTTTCTTTATTGCCTTTCTTTTTTCCCTTAGAAGCAATAATGAATTTTATCTGGATGAGATATGGGAAAAGTCCCCCTTTAATCTTAATTTTTCTTTGGTTATGTTTTCTAGGATTGGCCATGTGAGTGTGACCATATGATGAGAAACTTATCCTGGTCACCTAATGCAAATGTTTCTGAAATTTTTCTGTAGTTTAATCAACCTCCATTGTATAAAAACTGTGTTTACAACTGAGCAAATTACTGGAGTAGTAAAAGAAACATTGCTAGCCTTTACCCCATGAAAAACACAATAAAAAATACTTACTTTCATGGTTCTGTAACTCAAATAGAAAAGGAGATGAGAAGATTTTTCCAAACTGCAATTACTTTATTGTTAACACTTAGTGTCTAGAGTTGGAAGAATTAAGTAATGACACTAATATTGTTCATCTAGCCACATGTAAATGTGCTTTAGTTTCCCAGCTTATGCACGTCTTAACACTATGTTTGTGCTTAAGCCTTTTGCATTGTGAAATACAGCAAAAAGTTTTCTGGGCAGTGTGAATGAGAGCTACCATGTGATAGACTGGCCCAAATGATGCTGTCTTCTCTGGGAGGGAAAAAGTAATCCTCATCATCACGAAATGTCAAATTTCAAAATAAAATACTTTTAATACATACAATACAGAAATTATAAATGCCCCTGACAATACAGAAATTCACCTGACAATACAGAAATTATAAATGCCCCCTTTAGATAATTCAGCTTGCCGCCTCTTGTGGTTAAGGTGACACTGCTGCACCACCTTTTTCTTATCATAGGGAAAGTGACCCAGAATATCAAGGATGGTGAGATAATTCACAATAGACTGATGAGTACTATTTGACATTTTGTAGATTCAAAATCAACTCATTTCTGATTAAACACCACAACTCTGTGCATCATTCCTTTTTTTTCCTCTCAGAATTTTGATAATAAGCACATGCCAGATATTTATTTATTTATTTATTTTATTATACTTTAAGTTTTAGGGTACATGTGCACAACGTGCAGGTTTGTTACATATGTATACATGTGCCAGATATTTAAAAGAAACGTTTATTTTTGAATGAGTGTTAGCCTTGAAAAGACAAATGGGAGAGGTCGAAATGATGGAAAGATGGATTTGCACCTGATATATTCATAGGCAAGGCTGAATGGCTCTCCAGTGAGGAGCTGTATCAGCACAGGGTCTTTATAAAAGCTGGGAGTGGAAGTGGCAAGTTCCTTTGTGTTTCTTTTTTTGATCCCAACATATTAGGAGGCTGCCTGTCAAGACTGCTTGAAAAAGAAAGGAACCTCTACCCTTAGGACATATATTTTGTTTTGTAGGAGCCAAGGGTACATAGCTTTAGGGGGAAAAGTTGGTAATGTGCTGAAAACAAACCTCTATAACCAGATTCTAACTAAGCAAAAGGAATGCTGTCAGGGGTGCAGAGGTGGAAAGTGACTTGACGTCCTCTCCAGTGTCTCTTCTTCCATTTCCTCAGCAACTTGGCTTCTCAATGGTCAGACCCTGAATGACTAATTAGAAGGCTGCAAGAAATCACCATCCTTTAATTAAATAACGGATTATTGAAGGCAAATCATTCGATACATAATTGAAAATGCTGTTAAACTAAGAGGTCCCTTCCTCTTGGATCTGTAATACACATTGAACTTAGTAACATGGCCCTGGGGTCAGTGGCGGAGCCTGTGTGGATCTAAGGGGAGAGATTTTGGTTGGGACCACACAGATGTGGGAAAATAGGTCAAATACTCCCTCTCTCTCATCATCTGTGTGCTCTCTTTGTAATTTCTCAGTGGTGTTCATGGGTTTTAGATGTTATTAATCATGAAAGTTGTAAGGTGCTTGGAGATGGTCCCCTTTGTTATTTTAGAAAGAGAAAGAAGAGAGTGGCTGTCCAAAGACTTTCTATACCTATCTCAGTGCCTGTTGTAGGGATAGGAGCCTCAGACTCCAATTTATGGTGAAGGTTTTAGGTAGGGAGGAAAAGGAGACTTTTCCTCCCTTTTTTCATGCATGGCTTAGGAAAACTGGAAGAGACGAATCTCAAAAACAAGTTTTTCATAATATCACAGACATACCATACACAGAGACGCACCTCTTTAATATTCACCTTCTGCTAAGGCATGCATGAGTGATTAGTGTTCATATTTAACCCATTCTGTGTCTGGCTTCATTTTAATGTTTGTGACAGTCAAAGGTCTACAAGGTGTATCAGGCTTTTAATTTTTTTGTATATACATGCTACATACATATATTTTATATACAACTCTCATCAATATTTCACTCAGCTATTCACCACTACTTGGAAATGTCACTTAACCTCATTGAATGCCAGTTTTCTCATTAACGAAATGGGACAAATCATTTATTATGTTGTATAAAAGTGAAATTATTTGCCATGAAGTGTTTAGAAATGTGTTTGGTTCCTTTTCAGTGCTGGTTTTAAGGGATCTTTCTTATGGTTTAGGGAGTCTGTGAAATCCCTGAAAATGTGTGAATGATTTTCTGTGTATGTCCAAAACTACTTTTTATATGGAGCTTTTATCAGATTTTGAAAGGGCCTTAGCCCTCTATAATTTCACGTATCAGTTACCATTTGAAGGTAATCCATTTTCAGATAGGAAACATCTGCATGTTAATCTTTAATAAATTAATCTCTCTGTGTGTATGTGTATGTGTTTCTCTATTTTTTCCTCAAAGCAGCTTCTGAATTGGTAAGGAATTATTTATTCAGTTTATCACAGTTATCCTGTGAAAACCACTTCTTTGGGTGGCAGAATAATTTCTTAAGCATTGTCTTTTGTGTGTGATTATGAAAGATTTTAAAAATGCAAGAATATACAGAATCAGAGACCCCAGTGTACTCCCCACACAACAATAATACCTCCTAATTTAGAAATGGGGTGAGGTAAGATGGTTTCTGTTGCAGATGAACTTTTATACATTGGCTTCTCAAAGTTGTTCCTCAAGATCTGTTTTTGTTTGTTTGTTTGTTTGTTTGTTTGTTTTTTCTTGCCTTCCTTCCATTATGTGTGATTCCCTGTGCCAGTGCCCAGAGATGCCTGTGTGTGCAGGATCTGGTTATTCCTCCTTGGATCAAATGAGAAGAAACACACTTTAGAGAAGTTTCTATTTTATCATTGCTGTGGTTTCAATGTACTCTCCAAAGTTCATATGTTGGAAACTTAATCTCCAATGCACCAGTGTTGACAGGTGGGGCCTAGTAAGAAGTGATTAGGTCATGAGGGCTCTGCCCTAACGAATGAATAAATGTTGCCCTCTTGAGACTAGGTTTGTTATAACAGTGAATTTAGCCCCTTCTTGCTCTCTTGCTTTTGTGCTCTCTTGCCCTTCCACTTTTCACCATAGGATGACATAGCATGAAAGCCCTAGCCAGATGGGGGCCCCTCAATCTTGGACTTCTCAGTCTCTAGAACTGTAAGAAATAAACCTCTGTTTTGCATAACTTACCCAGTCTCAGGTATTCTGTTATAGTAACACGAAACAAACTATGACCATAGTAAAAAATAATTGAAGCAGTTATCTATTTAACTGAAGAATTCAATTCTGTTGACATTGGAATATTTTAGGAATAACTCATTCCCACTCCCATCTTTTTCACTTTATATTATAGGTAAGTAAGCCAACCATCTCCAAATTTTCCTATATGGATATTACGTCAGGTAACACACTGATAAACACACAAAGACTGTGTTTGAAATGCCTACTTATAAAGAATCTTGTCGCTGAGCATGGTGGCTTACACCTGTAATCCCAACACTTTGGGAGGCCAAGTTGGGCAGATTCTTGAGGTTAGGAGTTCAAGGCCAGCCTGGCCAACATGACGAAACCCCATCTCTACTGAAAAAAATTAGCCGGGCAAAGTGGTGCGTGCCTACAGTCCCAGCTACTCGGGAGACTGAGCCAGGAGAATCGATTGAACCCCAGAGGTGGAGCTTGCAGTGAGCTGAGATCATGCCACTGCACTCCAGCCTGGGTGACAGAGTGAGATTCTGTCTCAAAAACAGAGAAGAAAAGAAAGAATCTTTACTTAATGTGTGTTATAATTGTTTGTTGGTTATTTTTCATCCCTATCATCATTTGGGTTTGATGAATATAAATATGCATGTAATATACTATACCTTTGCTTCGCTTATTTTTTCTCTCTGGTCTTCCCTCATTAACAAAGCCCTGTGTACCTACAATGTTGGAACATGGGTTGGAAGTATGGGATCAATGGGATTCCTATAGTATGTTCTATGTTGGCAGTTCATTAAAGAAGATTCAGGGGTTGCTGGATGAGACAATGACAAAATCAGGCAAGAGAACTCAGATAGGATTATTTCTGTGGTTGCTATTTTAGCATTTTTGCAGTCCACATATATGTGTGTCTTCAGTCATTATGCTTTCATGCTCATTTTCTTTATGTTAATACAGGAACATAAAAATAATTTTGCTGACATAAAGATCACAGAAAATTCAAACTGGCTTTATGTCTCATGACAAACAAATAGAATTTATCTTCTGAACCTGCTAAAGTGAGATTTGTAAATGATATGAGCCATAACTGAAGCATCCAGTCAGGTGTCTCCTACCTAGATTGATTAGAGCAATTATTCTTAAGCATGGCAATGCTCATCTCAAACCCATTCCTCTCCTCTGGGTCAATGATAAGTATAAGACAAGGGTATACATTCTTAACTAGGGAAAATGCAACCTAATAAAATGAAAAATGATGGCAAAAATAGAAGAACTAGCAAAAGAGAAACTAGAGATGTATTTTTGTGATAGAAATATTTCCTGGGAAAATGTAAACTTGGGGTAAATATACATATTCTGCTCTAACACAGAGATGTGGAACTGAAGAATCCCACGTGAATGCTAAACTGTAGATAGATAAGGTTGATAACAATCTGATAAAATGAAACTACTGCATGTTATACTGTTAGTTTTGACTTATATAATGAGGTTGGTCATTCATACAAGCTAGGCAGGAAACAAAGGCAGATGTCAAACTATCATGTAAGCACAGCTGTTTAAATTAATTTCATCATTACCTATGAGCTGCTCTGACCTTGTAAGTTCCGCTGAGTAGAGTACTTAAGTTCTGAGACCTGTCAATAAATATGTGGCTGCTGATCCACTTCCAACAGGGCATGACATGGTCATAACGTTTTGCAGCCTCCCGTTTCTACAAATGGTAATGACCATGGATTCCAAAGAGATTGCTTTATAGCATGTGTTGTACCATCAGAAATGGTATATTCAACAGAAGCTTAGTAATCACTATAGGCTGATTTGAAGTAGATGGCGAACCAAATCTGTAAGAATGCCATGAAGATTTAAAAAACAAATGAACAAACAAAAAGCAGAAAACAAAACTGTAAAAACCCCTGGCTGAAGTTTGTATGTACTCCAAGCTTTATACATAGAACAAAATTATTTGCATCTGGCCTTATTGGACTTAAATATCTAGTCTTTGTTGGAAAAGCATTGAGGTTGAATTATAATGGCTATGATAATTTAGGGCTGTGTGGTTGGTTACTTGTAGAGAAACCCAAGATGACAATGATAAATTTTATAGTAAATTTACGGTAGGTTTAGACGTGAATGTCAGCCAATTAAATGAGCAATCAAACCACAAATATAATTAGTTTCCTTTGAAATGCCAGCTCCATGGAGAGCCCCATTACTTGACAAAAATAGACAACTTATAGAAGAAATCCATCAAAATATATTGTCTGGAACTAAATAAGAGCTGAGGTAGCAACTGTGTTTATTAAGGAGGGAAACCTAATTTGGAATCACAGTGAACAATTAAATTTTAAGTAAAATATACTGAGAGTCAGTGACAAGTTACAGGCTTGAGAATAAAAACTAAACTTCCTGTAATTTTTTTCTCTGTGTGTATATATACACACACATACATATAAAATAATATATAATTACACAAACTACACATTTATTTGTTCCAATATGTGAACCAACATTTGGGAAATTTATGTTCCCAAAATTTCCATTAAGTAGCTACAAGCTCAGAGGCTTAAGGACCAGGAAATTAATATGAACATTAACATGAAGTGCTCAGTGTTATAAAATATAGTAGCAAATGATGGGTGATAGGGCCATTTGGGAGCTCAAGACATAAAGTCATTCCCATTCAACTTTGTGACCTAAAAACCGCCTTTGGGCTCATTCAAATGCTGGTGATTTGACCAGCTGACTTTCAGATTTGGGAACTCAGAATGAAACCATTAAATAATCACTTAAGCCAAATTCACCTGCAAATATGCTATGTAAGGATGAGAGAGATTTTACTATTCCAAGATTGAAACTATGAAGCAACACCAGAATTTGTGCATAATATTACTAAATAATGCTTCTGAATCACATAGACATATTTTTAGGACTGTCTCCTGAGAAATCTGACTATAATAAGAAAATATCTTTTTGTGATTTGTTTTGAATATCTGTTGAAATTGCTCTGCTAATGAATTTCATTCAACAGACTTAGATCACACTTTCATGTTTATTGATAGCACTTTGCTCAGTTATTTCGCGGACTTGTGGACCATTTTTACCATTGATCACTAGTATCTATTCTACTTAATTATAGTTCTGTTGGTATCTCAGTAATTTCCATTTAATTTGCTTCCATGGAAGTGGTTGGAAACTGAAACTTTTAAACATTTCCATTACTCCAAGATATGTTTCTGTCTGGTAGAATTTATCTGTTTTCAAAAAAGAATATATTCTCTGGGGAAAATAATTAGAAACCTTTTTTGTTCTACGTAACGGGTTCTTGCAATGTAAAACTTTACTTGTAAGTGAATTATCAGGATTTCAAATATATCCATATTAAATATTACATAAGTGTAAAATATCTTAAGCTGTGTAACTTTTTTTGAAATGAGCCATTTTAGTACCATTGGCCACATTTCTGAAGTATGCCATTATTACTCAAAAACTTTGTAAATAAATGAATGGATGAATACACTATACATACAGCTCTTAATAGAAATTGTAAAATATACATTTAGAAAAAAATTCTCAATACATGCTTTATCAGTACTGAAAAAAGGTACTAATTTTGATTTATTCAGAAAGCAAAAGCAATAGTAGCACTGGTTTTTAAACAGGTTACAAATGAATTTCTTCTTGCATCAATAATGTCAGAATCACTAATTAAAATAGTGTATATTAAAACTCACAACCCGTATTTCTAACCTGAGAAGTTTAGCTTATATTAAAGAAGGAAACATATCTTTCAACATACCTGTAAAAAGTAGACCTGAACATTTAGGTTAAGATGATGAGAGTAGAATACTCTAATCATCATCATTAATCATCCTCATGCCGCTCTGTGGATTCCTCATCTCACAGTACCACAATATCCTAATTTCACAATATTTGTGAGTGCTGGGAGGAATTTTATATATCTGAGTTGACCATATGTTGATCCTATGTATTGAAGCATGATGTCTTTCTTATTTATTTAAAACTCAGCCTGAAAAACATAAGATGATATCCTATAAATGTATTTATAAGCTTTTATTATTTTCTGATGCTTGAAACCCATTGTTTCAATAAAAGATGGATATAACATAATAAAAATCAGGAATGTTCCTCGAAGTCCAGAATCCTTAGTCATTATATTAAATTTTCCCTGGCATTACCATTGGAAGCCTGGGATTTACTCTACATATGATGGTGTCAATAAGACACTAAAACTGTGTCACTAAGTTGGTTATGCTGAAGTGGTGTCAGTGGTTCTAGATTTAGGGTAAAAACAAAAAAGAGAGAAAGTGAAGGCAAGAAATTGTTAAAACTCTGAATTCAGGTTTGGAAGTTAGGTGACTTTTTTTTTAGGCCATATGTTGGAGTTTTGTACCAATGCATGTTTCTCTATCTGTATAGGTCATGGATGGCGGCATAAGTTTGTCTGTTCTTCATATATGTTAGTAACAAGACAGACAACATTTTTGGCATTTAGTGGTTGTGTTAAAATTTCATGATTAGATATGTTGTAAATTTTAAAACAGCAATCACATTTTCAGATACTCTGAACCAGATGCTCAGCATTAAAAGTCTAACTTTCCCATATGCTTCCCCTGCAGGCTAACTCAATTGGAAAACCTCTGCCCTATTGGTTCTCCAAGACAATGGCATTGTCACCAATCTAATCATGTCTTGAACTATATTGTTGAATACCCAGAGTGATTTCTCTAGGTAGATGCGATGAAGCAGCAGGAGTAACTCTGGGAAATGCATGTGACAGATGTTTTTAAAATCAAATCCATCAAATATTACTACTTTAAATTCACTCAAAATTGATTAGACCCACTCCTGTGATCTTGCCTCATACTGGTTTTGTTTAGTTTAGTTAATGTTGCAATTAATCTCTGCAAAAATCTAATTCATCCCCAAGCTTATTTCATGCCATGATCTGTTTGTGTAAATCTTCTGAAGCAAAATACCCTGTCTAATTTGATCTGTTGTCATGATTGAAAATACTAAGTTGATATCACTTTGTTTCTACACTGATATAATTAAAATGCCCACGCTTTTCTAATTAATCTAATCTAAAATTGCTTTGGCTATTAGATATCCTAATAGAATGTAATGCATTGTTTTTTTTCTTATCTCTGTCATTAGTCAAGATAATTAATTTTGCCAAGTTTGAAACACACCCAATATTTATTTGCATATTTAGATTTCAATCTAAGCCAGACTTCTTTGTCGAATATTATCCATTACTATTAAATAGAATTACTCTAAAAAGCCATGTTAACAACGTTCAAAGTAGAATATATAAGAAGTAATGTGTTATTTGCATACATACTGTTTACATTTAAATATATATGTACATAGGTGTACATATTCAAATTAATATATTTAGAGTTAGGCCTAATAAATATAATATATTTAATACAAGATATTAAGTAAGACACATTATATGTAATACTATATTTAGGTACATACATAATATATTTATATACCCAAATAATTATTTATAATGTTTATGATATACTTTCTGTTATATTTCAATAAACAAATTAAATACTCTTTACATTACACACTGTAAGTAAGAAATATAAAAAAGTAAATAAAGACTTAGAAATTCAGTAAATGGCCAGTCCATTTTGGATATATTGATTGTCATTATGGTTCATGTTTAGTTTTTAGAAATAAGAAATGTGAATATTTTATCATAATTATTTTAGGGTATAAGAACATAAAGTGGTGGATACTCTTCATTTTAATTGCTTATTTTCAAAATTGATATTAAATAGTAGCACTTACATTACAAATGCAAATTTAAATTGCATAATATATTAAATTTATACAAGGTATTAAATATGCTGATGAAGCTACTCTTTAAAAACATCCCTAAACTCATTTTACAAATACTCTGACTGAAAGCAAAAACAAGAGTATGTAAATAATAATGAACGTGATAATGTTGGTTGTAAGATATTTTGATAAATTGTTGTGTTTAAGTGTGATTAAAAGCAGCTAATATACTCAAAGATATCTGCATCTCACAAAAATCTTTTAAAATATTCTATTTGGAAAAATAATCCTGTTTTTAATTGCTTCATTGAATATTTTATAATGTATTTTATTATTTAAAACACTTTTGAAAAAATATAACCCCATATTTTTTAGCTTTGACTGTATTTTCCTCCTCATATTTAAATTCAATACTTTATTTTATTTTTCAAAGGGATATTTTTACTGATTTTGCAAAGAGGGTTACAACTTCAGTTCAGAAATATGCCTTGTATAGCTTAAAGACTTAAAAAGTCAACTTTTTCCAAAAACCATTTTTAAAGAAATTTTTATTGATAATAAAATAAATGAATGGGAAGACTTACAACATTGAGATAAAATTGCTATGTAAAAGCATTTTTAATGGAGAAATTCATTTTGTATTTGCATATGTTTAGAGAAACATGCAGTTTAATTTGAATTCATAGGGATTCTGCAACTAAACGACACTTAGGTTTCTATTTATTAAGTTCATGGGCCCTACCTCAATTTTTTTTTTCTACCAACGTATTCCATCTCCTTCCCATATTTTTCATATTAACCTATATGGCACAGGTTTATCCAGTCCTTCATCCGGTCACATATTCATATTATAATGATTATATAAGCTATAACTTTATAAATACGTTACAAAATGTGGATTGTTTTGATATAGTGATTAAGAAGACAAAATATATGGAAAACTACTCAGTATCGCTAGGCATCATGGAAATGCAAATTAAACAATGCTGAAATACCCTTAGGCACCCACCAGATTATTTAAATTAAAAAGACTAATAATGCAAAATGTTGGCAAGGATATGGAAGAGCTGGTGTGCACGTATATTATTGGTGGAATGTAAAGATGAAGTTATCACTTTGGAAAACTCTTTGACAATTTCCTGTAAATATATGTCTTCCTTATAAACCAGCAATTCTACTTCTAGGTATATATCCTAGAGATACAAGTGCATCGGTATATAAAATTGCCAAAAGAAGGTATTCATAGGAGCTTTATTCATAGTAGCAAAAATCTGGAAACAACCCTAGTATACATCAACAATAAAATAAACAATTTTGATGAGTCAAAAATAGAATACTGAACAGTAATTAATGCACAAATTGATGTACACTACAATATGAATAAATCTTAAAAACATTCTGAGGGAACAAAATTAAAATAGTTCCTACTCTAAAAATATATTTAAGTGAAGCTCAAGAAAAGGCAAACCTATCCATTATGATAGAACTCAGAATAGAGGTTATTCCAGTGGGAAGATTTTAACCATAATAGGGCACAAAAGTTTAGCAGAGATGGAAATGTTTTATCTCTTGATTTTGTTGGTGTAGACATATACATAAATATACACACACATACACATATGAATATTAATCATGTGATACAGTTAAGATTTATAGATTTTGCCAAATGTAAATTATGTCAATAAATAAAAGAAATACAGTGAGTTGTTACTTAATTAAAATTAGAGGGTTTTTATCAGCATTGATGAGACTAAAACATAAAATACATAAAGACCTTAAAATCACAGGCAACCTACAGAATGGGAGAAAATTTTTGCAATCTCTCCATCTGACAAAGGTCTAATATCCAGCATCTATAAGGAACTTAAACAAATTTACATGAAAAAAATGCCCCATCAAAAAGTGGGCAAAGGATATGAACAGACACTTCTCAAAAGAAGACATCTGCAGCCAACAAATATGTGAAAAATAGTTCATTATCACTGGTCATTAGAGAAATGCAAATCAAAACCACAATGAGATACCATTTCATACCGTTAGAATGGCAATCATTAAAAAGTCTGTAAATAACAGATGCTGGCAAGGACTCAGAGAAATAAGAACACATTTACAGTGTTGGTGGGAGTATAAATTAGTTCAACCATTGTGGAAGACAGTGTGGTGATTCCTCGAGGATCTAGAACCACAAATACCATTTGATCCAGCAATCCCCAAAGGATTATAAATCTATAAAGACACATGCACACGTATGTTTATTGCAGCACTATTTACAATAGTAAAGACTTGGAACCAACCCAAATGTCCATAATTGATAGACTAGATAAAGAAAATGTGGCACATATATACCATGGAATACTACACAGCCATAAAAAATGAGTTCATGTCCTTTGCAGAGACGTGGGTGAAGCTGGAAACCATCATCCTCAGCAAACTAACACAGAAACAGAAAACCAAATGCCACATGTTCTCACTCATAACTAGGAATTGAACAATGAGAACACATGGACAAAGGGGAACATCACACAACAGGGCATTATCGGGGGGTGGGGAGTGAGGGGAGTGAGAGCCTTAGGACAAATACCTAATGCATGTGGGGCTTAAATCCTAGATGATGGGTTGATAGGTGCAGCAAACCACCATGACACACGTATACTTGTGTAACAAACTTGCACATTCTGCACATGCATCCCAGAACTTAAAAAAAAAAAAAAAAATCTGAGTCTAATTCTTCTTCAGCCTGACTACCCCTGCTTTTCTCAAGAAATATGTCATATAGCACACTTCCAATCAACACTCAAAAACTCTTATTTCCTTGGGAATAAAGAAGCAGATTTCAAATTATAGATTATTGTGCACAGTGTCTACTTCTAAAACTGAGTTACTGTATTTGAAGACTGGTGAAAGTTTCAACGAACACAACAATAACCATAGATAGATACTTATACATGGTGAAGACTGTACCATTACATGGATTATTTCACTGTTCCTCATGGCAATATTAATGAAATGGATACTATTTTGTAACCTTAGTGAGCCATGGAGCTGTACCTCAAACCCAGTCACACTGCCTTTAGAAGACCTGTCCTTAACAATATATTATTTTTGTGCTAGATATTCTGATCGTAATGATCATATGACCAAAACAGTTGGCCCATTTTGAATCAATCTACATTTAGATCATTGTAAGTAATTAGATGAATCACTTGCTTATTGGCAGGTAAGCTATTGTGATTTCTTAAGCATATATTTGAAGTTAAACTGTTCTTTGGAACATATGGATAATTATTTTTTTTATTACATTTTAAGTTTTAGGGTACATGTGCACAACGTGCAGGTTAGTTACATATGTATACATGTGCCATGTTGGTGTGCTGCACCCAGTAACTCATCATTTAACATTAGGTATATCTCCTAATGTTATCCCTCCCCCCTCCCCCCTCCCCCCACCCCACAACAGGCCCCGGTGTGTGATGTTCCCCTTCCTGTGTCCATGTGTTCTCATTGTTCAATTCCCACCTATGAGTGAGAACATGCAGTGTTTGGTTTTTTGTCCTTGCGATAGTTTGCTGAGAATGATGGGGGATAATTATTTATGTTCTTCCAATGTAGGTACTTAAAGTAGAATGTTTTTCTACTTTAAAATGAAGTGTATTAGCTTTATGAAATTTAAAGAGAAGATACAGGAAGGCACCTATGAGAAGGCTCACGTGTTCAAGTCTGAAGAAAAAATCATTGGTTTTAAGTTTGGAATCCCTAAGTTACCTTTAGAGAGAATGGCTGAATTGCTGCATAAACATCTGAAGCTGGCAGGAGGAAATTTGGAAGACCAAAATTAGGCCATCCCAGAAACCTACTTTATGATGATATCTGTGTGATGGAGTAATGTAGAGGAATTGACATCTCCATTTAATTTAATTCCCAAGGGAGTTCAAGAAAATCCTTTATGTATCTTATTTAATATGTGTTCTTCCCCTACACAATTAAAATTAGAATGCAACTAAGACTCTACTAAGGGAAGGAAAATACAAATGTAAAATGATCATTCTTTCAATTCCCTTAGAAGTTTGATAAGTGAGAGAAGGAATGTCAACAATTATGCTCAGATTCTAGACTATCACTAGATTTTGCCTCTCGAAAATTCTTCTGCTTCCTGGGAAAATAATTGCTAATAAGCTGTTTAACAAAGATAATCCCAATCTGACTTTAATTCATTCAAAAATTATTTATAGCAAGTTTAAAATATGAAAAGAACTGAAACCTTTCTGATCTGACCAGCTGGCTAAAATCTTGGAACAGAGAGTTTTAGAATGAACATAAGCTTTATGCATTTAGCCGAATTAAACATCATTTAATTTGTATGACTCTGATTAATCATAGTCACTCTTAAATACAAATGCAATTTTAGATTTCCTCTAGCTCAAGTTTATTGAACACTTTGTTTCTGATGTAGACTAACCTTCAGTTGGTTGTGTTTAGTTGCTAGTGGCTTTAGATGCCCCTTATGTGAGTGACAGTAATATTTAGAGGGTACATGCATGTGAAGGGAAAATCTTGAAATATTTATGTTCTACCATAAGGAAATCTCTTTTTTTCTTCAGCTTAGAAGAGGTTATATCCTTACGTACAAACATTATGTTTACAATGTTTTTTAAATAAAATGGTATTTTTTTATTGCAACTCTTCGTCTACAATAGAGATCGATAGACTTACTTTACCATATGATGAACAAAACCTAAAAAATATTACTTGTGAACTTAACCACAAGTTTAGACAAACAAATGCACTGAACTGAATTTTGAGTAAACTTATGTATAGCCAAGGATTAAGAAAATTCCATTACAGTCTATAGATAAACTCTTACTACCATTAATATATTTTTCAAAAGCTTGTGCATTATGAAGTTCATGTCTCTTTAACCAAAACATATAAAAATATATGGTGAATACTTTGTCAAAACTTGTGGAATTCATTAAGTATAAGAATCCACATAATCCAAGTTTACTACTATTTAATTTTAATCCATAGCTGAATAATGAAAGTAAATGAACAGAGCCAAAAACATGTCACTTTTGAGAATACATATGTCCTCCAAATAAAGTACATTTATTTGTATTATTCTTTGTCTGTCCATCTTCTCAAGCTCCATTAAAAAAGAAAATATATGGAAGTGGGTGAAAGCTTGAGGACTAAATGTGTAGCTGCAAGTACATTCTTAATTCAGAACTTAAAAATTTCTAGGTAGTGTTTAAACCTATTCAACCAGAAAGGGAAACATATTCCACTAAAACCATTGATAAAAAATTATATGATGGTTACATTCAAAGGCATGTCCTATTTTGCTCTCAAACACAGCAAAATAGCAAAATAGAACATGCCTTTGAACATAAGCATCATGCATTTAGCTGAAATAAACAATGCATTTGCAAATTTTTGCCTTAGCTTTTGCTATAACTTTAAATGATACATGTCCTTGAGAATTATGGTCAAATTTTAAATAAAAATAAAAACTGAAAACGTCTGTTATGTTAGTTTCCATTTCATTATTCACTAGAAATAATGAAACTAAAATGTTACCTAACATATTTGAAACTCATGACATACCAAATTAAAGCTAAATATATATTAAAATTTTAATTATTTTGTTTATTTAATTTTATAATGGGAGTGAGAGTACTTTGTCTTTTGAGACTAGAGAAATATGTAAGAGGAAATGCTACAGAATCAAACATTTTTGCATATGTGTCAAGTTATAGAAGAAATTAGCAAAGAATATCTAACTATATTTGTTTTCAAAAGATTTTTTACGTCTGCCCTTTAATGTTTACAGCTTATCAGCAACTAGAAAATTGAGTCAAGCATTTATGGTAAGCTGTTTTTACTGAAGTATGTTTGCTGGTTGATAAAGATGTCCTCTGTGAGAAGATAGAAGTAGCTAGTTATCTTCAGCCAGAGGAATATTTTGTATTAACATGCGGCAGAGTACTTTGAAAAGTGGTTTATTGAAGTTCTTACTCACTTTAGTTTTATAAAAGGCAATGTGACATAAATCATGGTATGTTTTTTTTTTCTTTTTCTTTTCTTTTTTTTTTTTTTTGAGACGGAGTCTCACTGTTACCCAGGCTGGAGTGCAGTAGCGCCATCTCGGCTCACTGCAAGCTCCGCCTCCCGGGTTCACGCCATTCTCCTGCCTCAGCCTCCCGCGTAGCTGGGACTACAGGCGCCCGCCAAAGTTGGGTGAAGGGTTTACAAATGTTAATTTTCTTATGCTTCATAACATGCAAATATAATTTTACTTATATGTGATATTTTTGCGTAACAACTTCCAGTAAAAATTAAAATTAATATGCCACTAGTCATTCTAAAGGAACATATAATTTAAGCAAGAAATGTCTTTCTTTTCAGTCTTTATTAAAGTGGGTTATTTTTAGTGGTTTCTATCTCTAGGTATCTAATTGTCATTTTAATTAACGATAGTTTATAAACAAGTATGTCCAGTTTTAGAAGTTTGTTAATTTCTTCAATAACCATACTAAATTCTAAGTCTGTAGTTACTGGGTACAGGATGCAGTCTTAAACTGGGATTTATATTCATGATATTCAAGGGTTATTCTTAGGAACAATGGTCCATAAAGTTATGGGGAAATGATAAAACTAGGAATTATCACTCCTTCTAGAAAAATGTATACATGCTCATAGATGTAATTTTCTAAAATAAAATCTAATATAATAGTCTCAGATCTCCTAAAATTCATCCATTGCTAGCAGCAGTAACATCATTTACTTTTACTATGCCAAAAATTTGTAGTATTTTCTTTTTATACATACTACTGCAGGTTCCGTAAAGTTGTTTCTAATGTAGATTTCGCCTGAGTTTCCCCATGTCAATTTCTGCATGGTGGCAATGTTTCAGTTTTCATTGCCTGTTCTTAATTCCTAAGTTTAGAACATTTGGGTTGCAACAGCATTTATCAATGCACCAACACAATCTGCATTCCACTGACATGTACATAATCTTGTCTTGATCTTTGATGTTAAATGTGAGTTTTACACGTTAATACAATTGCTTGAGAAATTCCTTGATGGGTGCAGCAAACCACCATGGCACGTGTATACCTATGTAACAAACATGCACATTCTGCACATGTACCCCATAACTTAAAAGTTTAATAATAATAAGAAGTTACAAAAGATTGGAAGCTAGCATCATATTATTTCTACTTAGGCAACATGACACCAACTCCTGTATATAAAACAAATTTGTAGAAATAAATACTGACATTATAGAGTGGTGTATGCTACAGCGTCAAGCTGTCAGCTGCGTTGGTTTTACCTAAATTCTGAATATAAGAATTTACCCAGTTGCTCCCAAACTGGCTTTAAGGAAGATACATTCTTCACTAACCTCGTTGCCTACGTCTCCTCTTTTTTTGTGCAAAAGTGTTTACATATTCCATTCTCTTTATCAGAAATACTTATGCCCTACTAACTATACTTTTGATTGGATTGCTTCAATTTATTTTTGATACTTCAATTTAAATATCTCTTTCTCAGGGATGATTTTTCTGTACATGTCCTTTCTCTATCAAAGCATGCAATTCATTTTGTTTTCTGAAATTAAAAAGACCAGGGTTTATTATGTTGCATAGAATATGGTATGTGCTCAAGGAGCATTTCATGTTGAAAATTAAATGTACAAATGAATAGATGAAAGAACAAATGAATGCTATAACATAGTGCATACTGAAGATACACCTGTTTGATGAATAAAACATGCTCTTTGCCTTCAGTTTTAGAGATGCTCATGACAAAAACTGAAATAATTGCATTTGGACTTTCCTACATATACTATCTTTATATATAATCTTGTTTTATACCAAAATCATGATTGTCTATTTTTCATACAATGTTTTTTCAATGTCTTTTCTTCATGTAGTCTCCTACATTCCTTAAGAGCATTAAAACACTAGATTTCAGAACCAAGGAGAGTTCCAAGTTGATGTCAACCAACAAAAAACTTGGTGCCTGAATTTTGTAGGAGAAAACTAGTAATGTACTTTAATCAGTGGTTAAAATTGGCCGCTGACTGGGGCCAATGCTGTCTAGCACAATTATTTTAACAATTATCATTTTTACAAACAAGATAGCTGAGAGCTTTCACGTAATTCAATAGCTGACTTTAAAAATTCAGGATCATTTTTCCCAACTCAATGTTACTTCAACATCACTTGAACCTATGGCTCTGATAATTGATATCAAGGCTGAATTTCTCTTTTTTGCCTATATGGTTCATAGACATTTAAAAAGTCAACACCTTTTATTTTTACAGAAGACATTGGAACTACCCCTGTTACTTGTGAAAAGTTTTCAGATAGGAAATGAGACTTTCAAAATGAAGAACAACTTAAGCCATTGTCATGAGCTACTTTTCCTAGGGTTGGTACCTTAAGAAAACTCACTGGTACTCATATCCCCAATCCAGGCAAACTTTTTATTCCCAGGATTTACATACTCTTAATAGTTCATCCCACCAGCCTTATCCTGGATTCTGCCACCTCACTTATCCTTAAGCCTTCCCACTTCCTTTTCATAAAATATTAAATCTATAAATGAAAATTCCAGGATATATATCACATTATCTTTTGCTGTGATATATTCCAGTTTATCTGATTTTTTAGACCGGGAATTGGCAAATTAAGGACCATGGATCAAATTCAGCTGACCATGCATCATTTTTTAAAATAAAGTTTTATTGAATTACAGCTAGGGTCATTTGTTTACTTATTATGTATGGTTGCTTTTGTGCTGCAATACCAAAGCAGACAGCATGTAACCTACAAAGCCTAACATGTTTATTGTCTGACCCTTTACAAAAAGGACCTTCATTGACTCCTGGATGTAGATATTAGGAATTATAAACATGGTTTTAAGGAACATATTAGAGAAAATGGCATTTCCTGGAGTCACAAACTAAAGTGATTGTAGCCACATGCAGGTAAACTAAAAGTGATCAGACTTGGTATAAGAAATGGGAAATGATGGACACTGTGGGAACTTTGAAGGAGCATGCTTAGTTTCAAAACTACATCTACAACCCAGCCCCAGGTCAATTTCCCTTACTAGATTGTAGACCATGTATTGCTAACCCTTCTACCTTTTAAAGAAAAGCCAGATATTTATATTCTAATGTGACACTTTCAAATAAAAAAAACCCAAATGTTTTAGGGCAATTTATGCCCAAAACATACTTTTGGCTTGATTTGGCCATAGATCATCTTGTTATAATCCCAGCTTTTATTAAAAATAGTTCTTTTCATGAAAATTTAAAATTGCAACATATTGCAGAGCCAAGGAGAGATCAACAAATTATACTTTCTTAGATTTCTCTGAAAATATTTATAATAGAATTCCTAACACCTATATTAACATGTTCATAAAAATGTCACTGTTCAAGTCTCTGAGTGTTTCGCTCAAAATTGAACCTGCACCAAAAGTTATTCAGAACCAGCAATAATCCAAACGAAAAAGGTCTCATACTGTATTTCCTAACAATGTGGCATGTTTCACACTCATTAGTTCCTAGCCCTAGTGTACATGTAAAAGTCATCCAATTAGCCTTGGATGAACAATATCTATTGAGGCAATGAGTAAACTGTAACTAATACTATAATTGCATCTTCTCATATGTTTGTTTTAAAATACCTCTCAGGTCAACATATTTCCCATTTAGAAGGGTATGAGATCTGTAGGGTATGGTGGATAAGTCAGAGTCCCTGTCCCCCTTAGCTAGGGAATTAGATAGAATTTAATAAAGTGGCTTGTTTTTAAATGAGGGGGAAAAATTTAGGGAACAAGAGAGAGTGCAGAGCCTGCGGATTAATGGTAGTTCCAATAGCTCATTACCACCTCTAGACCAATAGAAGAAAAGCAGGTTCCAAGTTATGAAACCTGGAGTGAGAAGCTAATGGCTACCTGACAAGACCTTTTACTAGACTGATGCAACCAACCAGCTGTGGCTTAGAAGCCAGGGAGCAGAGAGGAAAATATCCTGACCATCCTCTCACCTTCTACTGATTTCTCCCAGTGTTGAACCCACTGACGGCCTGAGGGAAAGGGCACTTGCTGAGACAGTCCACAAAGGTCGGCTTCCTCACACACACGGCAGGGTATGGCGAAGACAGAGGTTGGCTCTGAAGGGGCGAAGAGAGAATACCTGGCCCCGTGTTCATTCTTTCTTGTGGCTTGTAGGTCAGTGTTCTAACCTCTGAAATCTGTGTGGTTTTCTGAAGCTGAAAACACAGTAATGGAGAGCATGAATTGGAAGATTTTTCTTTAAAGCTATTGAAGTGAATGAGCTGTGAGTGAATACTTGAGCAGAGAGTATCACATGTGTCTGTTAATGACTATTATTATATCGTGTTCTATTATGAGTCTGGCAAGCTGAGAAGTCAAGTGAGGGTGACAGGCACAGTGGAAACTGTGAAATACCATACCTCTTCTAGCATCCTCTGAGAGGAAGTACTGAACAGAGAATTGCTATTCTATATAAACTTACGTGTGTGTGTGTGTGTGCATGTGTATGTGTGCCTAGAAGGAAGAATTCTCATGAAGAAAAGGATAAATTGTACACTTATATATTGGAGTATTCCCCAGCACTGAACTCAACTACTTAATTTTGAAGTTCAATTGATTGCTTTAATCAGACCATGCTCTTGCAGATGTACTGTAACAGAGAGAAAGAAAGCACGTCACTGTTAATTCTAGCTGTAGGCTGGCCTAATAAGAAAAATAACTTGGATGACTTGATGGATTTTGCACAATTCTGGAAAACCTTAATTAGTATTTTGGGAAAAGCAAGCAGTTGGTTAATGGCTGCATTTGGTTTTATTTGGACTTTATTCAAAAGTTCTGGTTTCACCTACAAATAACTACATCAAATGTTGCTTTTTGGGTTAAAATTTGCAAAATTGAGTTTGATAGTTTAGTTGCAATTAAAATGTTGGGAAAGCTATATTTTGTCAGCTGTTTCCAGGTTATATTAATATTCTGTTTCTTCATGTTTACATAATTTATGTCAGCATATTAATTGATCTAAATATTTTTAGTGCAAAATCTATATTATAATGTATATGTTTGAAAATATCTTTTCAGGAAAATAAATGCAATTAAATATTCAGGATTTAGCATGAATATAAATTTGTAATAACCTATTTTAAAAAGGGTTAACCTCAAATTAGATATTCTTATTTTAAGATGGGTTGAGAACATATGCTTTAGGGTCATAATATCTGGGCTTGATCCCACATCTGCCATGTATTATCTCTGTGGAGTTGGGCCGGTTGTGTTACCTTTCTGTGTCACTTTTCATACCAGTAAAATGAGGATAATAATACTATCTTATGAGATAGTTGGAAGCACTAAGGGTTAATTGCAAAGTAGTTAAAACAATGGCAGGAACATAGCACTTAATAAGTCTTAATTATTATGCTTTCACTAAAAAAGATACATACATATATATGTTCAGTATTTTTTATATATATATGTGCGTGTGTGTGTGTGTGTGTGTGTGTGTATCACTAACGGAACACCATGGGAAAACTAGGAACTCTAAATTTATTTAAAAATTATTACCATATTGAAATGGGTGAAGAGATCATAATGTGTCACTAGTATGCAGATTATTTTTCTCCTTTTGCCCTGTTGGTAGAACTACTAACCCTATGATGCAGAGAATTGTCAAAAGCATCAATACACTGGATACTTCTTGATAAGCCTTTCTTTTCTGGGTGACTTAGTTTCTGAAATTTAAATGTGATGACTGTAAAAAAATCCTGAAAATGAAAAAAAATCAAACAATAATAAGTTTTGTATTATTGGATTTTTCCAGTACATGAGAGCTCATCATTCAGGTCTCTTCCTAAGTCTATGTCAATGATATCCCCTTGAAAGTTTGAAGTAGGCAACGAAGGGAGTATTAATACCACACAAATAGGTTAACGCTATAAATCTCGACTTTTTGGAAGGCTGGTTGTTAAAAACTTATCAACATGCTGCTATGTAATCCCTACATTTGAAGAGTCCAATTGAATTATTCTGTGCTTTGATGCACTTTTTCTAGTTTTGTAATAATAAATGTACCATAGTAATTAGTACTACTTAACAGTATAGAAGTATTTACCAGTCTATAATAAAGCTGTTTATATAACCACAAAAATTGTTTAAGAAATAATTTCAAGATTCTTCTAAGAATATACAGTTTTGTGACAAGGTTGACCTTTAGTAGTCGACTGTTTCTAAAGAAATGTTTTCTTATAAGACCCTAAAACTTAGAGTATAATAAAAAAAAAACATAAAAAAAATAAAAATAAAAATAAAAAGGACAAACACATATATAACTCAGACCAAAAAAAAAAAAAAAAAAAAAAAAAAAAGATTCTTCTTATGCAGCCCAGATTTTGGTAATACGTCTTCAATGTTAAAAATCTGGACCCTGTGATGAAATAATTTGTGTACCAAACCCCAGCACCACGCAATTTACCCATTTTACAAACCTGCACATGGACCCCCTGAACCTAAAATAAAAGCTGGAGGAAAAACAAAATCTGGACCCTGTCGCCAGGCAAAACTATATTTGAGAGATGCTTCTTCATTTACTAGCTAAGTGATTTTCAGCAACTTGTTTGTCCTTTATGATACTGTGATCTTTAAAATGGTTGTTTATAATAATAATATAGAGTTTTTAGAGGCTTTAAAGAAATGTCTGTGAAATTGAACGCAGTGCCTCACTTCAAAAGCCTCACTTATGTGTGGATTGATTTGACAGCTGCTGTATGATCTGCTTTCCAGGATTGTACATAGAAAGCATGCTATCCTGCCTGCAGATGCCCCAAATTCCACTTGATCGTCTAGTTAGTGGAATTATTTTATTTCTATTATCTGGAAAATTTAGTCTAAAATGTGTATCTATATGTTATGGTTCAGTTATGGTTCAGATGAATAAATTTCAAGGGATGTTTTGCCTATTAGATGGGTAGAATCAACAACTCTATAACTTGAGTGTGGAGAAGATAGACAGTGGGTAAAAATGTGTTTAGAATGGAGAAAATTGACTTGAAGAAAATATACTAAGAGCAAAATGTATCCTATTTGCCTTTAGCTCAGGACGTTTAACTTTTAACAAGAAACACGCTAAATTTTCTCTTAAAATAGTTTACTCTGAAGTGTTAGATGAAAGATATGATATAAAACACATATAAAAGACAAGAATCAACATAGGGACAAAACTTTTGGGAATAGGGACAAATGGACCTGATGTTCTTTTGAGTATAATCTTAGGCAGGCCAATTCTTCACTAAGGACTTTTGTTTGCCTCCCTTGCAATCTCTAAAATTTCACAGGATCCTCCTCTGAGCTTGATTTGTGAGGTTACTGTAAATATGTTACATTTGCATAGCTCTGAACAGTATTCAAATGCTTTTTACTCTCATTAGCTGAGGGAAACTTCCCATGAGCCAAAGAGCCCATCAAAGTAATGAGGGAAGAACAGAGGTTTCATCCACTGAATCACAGCGAATGGGAAACAGAAATGTAATTCCACAAAGGAGACCCAATAGTTCCTAGTAAGGAAGCCAAGGACTATTCTCTGATGACTGCTTTCTTGTGGGGTTCTAGTCCTTTGATCTACTTTTAAGTAATAGCAACATTCTAATTACCAATTCAATTTAAAATTCCTAAGCCTTGTAAAATAGGTAAGTATTAGCAAATGTTAAATTTTTATGAGCAATGGGAAAAGGGATTGTAGTTGTTGTTTCTTAATAGATATAAATTATGTCTTTTATAGTTAATAGCACTAACAATTTGCTGTAGCTTAGCATGTTAAAAATAAAACACTCTACCTGTGTATACCTCTTTGACCTACCATCTTCATAGAAACAAGATAAACATTATCATTGTAAATTTTCCCCTATCAAAATGCATTTTTATTTACATAAGTAATACAGGAACACATGCAAATTGTATTAAAAGTTAAAATATAATGGAGAAGGCTGATTCTTGAAAATGCTTGAATTTCACAAAAAGATGAAAAGCTTTAATCTATGACCCATGAGCTTGCCCTTAAATCTGGTTAAAAATTTTGGAAAGTTATAAGCAATCAAATGATGTATGAGGATTTACTGACGAGTCACTGGAAGTAGATGAGAATTCGTGAAAAATAGCTATTTAAAACCAGTATCCTGCCATTTTTAAAATGATATCACTAAGCTGGAAGATCGAAAAGATTTGGTAGGAATAAAAAAATAAATTTGTGCTATCCTTAAGGAAAATATTAAGGACTGTAGGTTAACGGGGTAGATTTCTAGTGATGTAGGAGTATACCTAAAATGGAAGAGAGATGAATGGGTATCAGTTAACAGGATTGTTTGCCTTAGGGTTTGTACCTTGGCCCTTCCCTGTTCAACATATTTGTTAAAGGCTGATGTAATCTGACTTGAGGCGCAGCCCACTAGTAAACATAAGATTCAACTGTGATATGGAAGTCTAGCTCCCAACAGTAGTTTAATGCCAATCCTTATTATAGCATCACTATTCCAGAATAAGACTCTAATATCTGACTCTGATGCCTGATTTTATGATGTTTTACCCAAAAGTTATATTTATCATGCTTTGCCTAGCATGTTGGATGGAAATGAAAACCATACTACTTGAGGGACATTTAAAGTAACTGAAGATGTTTAGACTGGAGAATATAAGATTAAATGGGCAGAGAATGGCAGATTTAATGGGCAAAAACTATGATACACACACACACACACACACACACACACACACACACATAAAACTTCCATATCTGAGGGTATTAAACTATAAAATAGGTCTTGGTGGAATAAATTAAAATGTGGTGTAAAATAAATATAATTTATTTTTTATTTAATCTAAGAAAAAATCTTTATACTGTTTATAGATTTTCATAATTAGAATAATTCCCTGTGAAGGAATAGCTTTTTCAACACAGAAAATGTTCCAATTCAGCTTGGAGGATGACTTTTCAGGGTGATTGGTCATGGGACTCATGTGAGTTAATAAAATAATATCCAAGAACATTTAAAAACTGAAGTCCTCCCCTACTCCATAAGTCTATGGAGAATTTTTATTAGTGTAATTTTTTTGGAAGATATTGATATTTAATTATCTTTATTTTAATGTGTACTTATTAAACTTAATTTAGAAAATTGGGTGAAAAAAGAAAATTTAATGCTCTGTCACATTGGTACAATGTTGTTTCTTTCTTTTCTAATATGTAATGATCTCTCTTTATTTGTCTTTTATGTCTTATCTATGTTTCCTCCAAGTCTTTTTAGCCATCACTTAAAAGTTATGTTATAGAGCATTGTCAACTTTTCAACTTTTTACTAGGAAGCAGTGATTTTTTGATTCAACATTCTAATGGCTGGCTTTCCTTCATTGAATTTTCTGCTTTCCCTTTAGAAAATGTAGTCTGAATTAATAACTCACACCTAGGAAATCCTCATTACTTGCTACCACAACCTGTCTTTAAATTTTATTATTTTATTTTATAGACAGGGTATCTCTCTGTCACCTAGGTTGAAGTGCAGTGGTGCAATCATAGCTCTCTGCATCCTTGAACTTCTGGGCTCAAGCGAGCCTCCTTCCTTTGCCTCCCAAGTAGCTGGAACTGCAGGTGCGTGCTGCCATACCTGACTAAAATTTTTACTTTTATTTTTTTTTATAGAAACAGTCTTACTATGTTGTCCAGGCTGGTCTTGAACTCCTGGCCTCAAGAGATCCTCCTACCTTGACCTCTCAAAATGCTGGGATTACAAGCATAGCCACTATGCCTGGCCTGACCCCCTCTTTCTTTAAAAGCAAAATTTGAAGAAGTCTATGAAGATCTAGAAGGGTATTTCCAATTTCTGTCTAATGACATCCCATCTTTGAAAGAATTTGTCTCATCTTTCTCAGTCATCACAGATTATCCAAAAAATTATTTGTAATTATTGAATCCCTTTTATTATTCACTTAAAAAATACAACATAAATGCTAATTTCCTGGGCATTCTTAAGCTGACAGAGTGCTGTATTTCTTTCTCATGTCTCTTATTCCTCACCATAACAGCCTGGAAAAGCATACCCTCCTTAGGACAATTGGGTTCTCGACTTCTACTACACTGTAGTAGAATAGCAATGCTGCTACTTTCCTTGGAGGAGTAGAGATATCTGGTTCCTGTTTTATAGGGACACTGGAGTAAAATCCACTGTTTATGATGAATGTGGAAAGGGTTGATACAGCTCAGCAATGAATAAGCCTCAGAGAATCCATCCTTATGAGAGATATTGTAGAGGCAAATCTAGTCAAGTAACGTTAATATTAGCATCAACAAACATTAATATAGTTCATCACAGTTTATAAAGTTTATAAAGAGCTCTAAATGTCATTCGGAGAGCCAGTTTGAAATTGTGTATAACTATGAATAATTTTCAGGCAGGGAAGCTGATGTTCAGGAAATGTCAGTGCTCTGACAAAAGTAGAGCTTCAGGTCCTCTGTAGGAGAAAACCCAGGTAAATCAATGCTTTGTAAAACATTTCGGTATGTCCATACTTGGACACATCTGAGATGTCACTCATAGCAGCAGTCATTTCCATTTTCTTTTTTTCTCTCTTCTTTTTCTGTCAACTTTTCTTCTCACTCCTCCTTTCCTTTCTTTTACTTTCCCTCACTTCCAGCCTCCAACTTCTTTTACAGCTTTACTCTCCTACTGATGTTAGCAATAACTTGCGTATAGTTTTGACGCACGTCAAGAGCAGTTATTTTTTTTTTCTGTTCTAATCTCTGAGAATCTGGCCAAGGGGAGACAGTGGCATTATAAAGGGAGGAAGTACTGGATTCATATGAGCGAGTAAGGTGGTCTTAGAGCAAAGAAGTGAAGGCAGGTTAGCATGAATAAAGATAACCATGGAGACCTGAACAGTGATATATTTAAGAATACTGACAAAGAAATATTAGGGAACATTTAGCAGTAATCGCATAATGACAGGCATATGGACATTTTTATTAAAGCCCAGGTAGCCAGTCTAAAATACACTGTGTCCAAGTTAATAGCATTGCAGAAAACACACTCTCATGTTGCCTACATGGGCACGTTCAACTCAGACAAATAATGCTATCAATGGTAATTGGAAGTGCTATTATCCATATCTGAATGTGCCTCAGGTACCATTAGCAGCAGCACTCTTTTCGTTTTGTTTTGATTTTTGCTTTCTCAACTGTAGAATTCACATTATTTTTATTAAAATTTGTCTTGCATTAAAAATTGTATTTAATAATCACGTCTTTCTCTCAGTCAATTAATGAAGCCCCTGTCCCCCCAGCTAAACAGACTTGCCTCTTTTCACCACTTAATTTCTAAAGTGAAGAAAAATTATATAAATAGCTAACTGCACAAAATTACATACGCATAATATTCAAAGTATTTTACCAGAAATTATATAGTTATACCATTATCAGCCATATTAGGTAGTTGTTAAAATCCTTAAATCATTATTCTAATTCAGGCTAGTTTAATTCTTTTATAACTTCTTAACCTAATAGTTCTTTTATTAATTATTTGCAAAATTGACTGTTTAAACATTTCTCATTGCAGTTTAATATGAAAACTCTGAACAAGGACAATAGTCTCAATGTTAAACAGTAGCCTCTACAATACTTCCACTGGACTTTTTATGACATGCAAATATGCCAAATGTCCCACCCAACCAGTGTTACTGCAGCTATGATTGCAACGTATGACCATGAAGGAAACAATTAGTATACCACAAATAAATTCAGAAATGTCTCTCCTTATATTCAGCTTATATTCAGCTATGTGGCTGAGAATTCTTGGAATGAAGAAAATTACCTTCTTAGAAAGTTTCCCAGTTTTTTCTTTTTCCATTTGAGCTATAGTTTTAAGAGGGAGAAATGCATATGAGCCATATTTTGTCTTTACAACTAATTCACAAAGAGGTGAACTAAAAATTACCAAAATGTGGATTCATATGAGCCATATTTTGTCTTTATAATTAATTCACAAAGAAGTAAACTAAAAATTACCCAAATGTGGATTCATATGAGCCATATTTTGTCTTTACAATTAATTCACAAAGAAGTGAACTAAAAATTACCCAAATGTGGATTTTTAGCCAGTTATAACTCATTAGAAAATATTAGTAGTTGGTTGAACAAGGAAACACAGATATATGGGGGATTAATAATTTTGCTATGTGGGTTAAGAATAGCCTAAAATAAATTTCTATTGCTTCATTAGAACAGTGTCACCTGTTCATGAGATCCTGAAATGTGCCTGAATGTAATGCAATGGCATACAATAAATGTTTATTATTTGCCTATCATATGTAAGTTATTCTGCTGGGACTTTTCCAAGGTACATTTAGGGTAGAAATAATCACTGGGCAGAGTCAATTATACCTTCTCCATGATCCCACAGCAAACTGGAAATGCCTGGTTTGTAGCCTTTACCATACTTCATGGAAATTATCTACTTCTATATTCCAGTTGCTGTCACTAGGTTTTGAATAACTTGAAGGCAGATTCTATGTGTCTTTTTTTTATCTTTGTATAGCTACACAAACTCAGAGGTGCATCATATATCATATTGTTTTATTTGATTTTGATTGAAGTAACCACAAAACCCTATCCTATCATTTTGAGGGGCTATTCAGCCTATGCCCCTCCTCCACTTACTCAACAGTCCCATGTGGCTTGGTAAGGCTGTGTGTGGAGAGAGCCTATTTGTCTTAGATCAGTCCTCATCATCATTCGTCATCATCTAAGCTTGCCTGGTCTCTTAAAGATAGTTGACTCGATTGTTTTTGTGCTGAGTTTGAGTACTGAGGTATTTGTTGAAGTTGGGAGCCCTGGGCTCTAGAATCTAGCCTACCTAGATATTTTATGCAGCCATTCACTTCTCAGATTCTACCGTCTTCTCAGAGCAGAAGAGGGACTCTTTCTGGTTTAGATAAATGTTAAGTCTTTCCCCTAGTTTAACCTTTTAAGAACTTCCTTTTCTTCCTCAACCCTCCTGGAATGTCTAGCACAATGCACTTTGTTTTAGGTTATAAAACAAAAGACAAGAATGGAGATGGTCTCCAGGAAACTTAGGCTTTCAGCCAATTATTATCCCCCCATTCCACCCCAGTAAAGTAGGACCACTAACTTCTGGCTACCTTGCTAGAATAAGAGAGATAAAAGTATAGGAGATATATGCACACATTGACATCTCAGTACATTTTCTAACCATAATTATATATCTAGTGCAGGGAAGGTTCTGCCACATAATATATACTCAATAAAGTGTGTGGAATGACTGAATAAATGAATGGGACTCTTCAACATAAAGAACAGGGTCTATTCCATTTTCATTTCTATTTTAGTATTCTATCTAGTATTCAGGATTAGCATTGTACATGACAGGAAGCACTCTTCTTTAAGCTGGAAATATGTTCACTACTAATTTATGAAAACTTAGCTGTTCTTGGACCTATTGCTATAGGTCTCTGTGCTATCTTGAGTAATAACCAGAGGCTATGCTGTAACAAGGCCCCCAACTTAGTATGTGCCTTTGCTTTCTAGTTGAGGATTAGTGGATACCACATTCTAACTCAAAGGAAAGAGGTTTCTGATTGAAATTTTGGGCATCATCCTGGTGGGAGAAATATTTTAGAACGGAGCACAGTGTTAGTTGCATTCCCTCACTTCACTGGGGCCTAGGCCTACTAACAGTAACTCTGTTGAAATGCATTCTTAGGAGAAACAGTGAAATGAAATACATATACCTGCACACTAGGAGGCAGGTGACCTGGAATTTTATCTATCACCTTCTTGAGCAGTGTTGTCCACATCCACAAATGGGGCCACATTACCTATATATTAGACTATGAATCTCTCTTGAAATATTTTTCTGGCTGGGTGGGGTGGCTCACGCCTATAATCCCAGCGCTTTGAGAGGCTGAGGCAGATGGATCACGTGAGGTCAAGAGTTCGAGACCAGCCTGGCCGACATGGTGAAACCCTATTTCTACTAAAAATACAAAAATTAGCCAGGTTTTGTGGTGGGCATCTGTAATCCCAGCTACTTGGGAGGCTGAGGCCGGAGAATTGCATGAACCTGGGAGGCAGAGGTTGCAGTGAGCTGAGATTGTGCCACTGCACTCCAGCCTAGGCAACAGAGCAAAACTCTCTCTCAATAAAATAAAATAAAATATTCTTTTCTGTCTTGTGATCCCTTAGAATCTTGATAAAATTATTTCATAGACTAGATATATTGCAGTCTTGTTGCATTGTAAATTAGAGTTCCTCATCTTTTCTGATTAAAATCAACTTTTTTTCACTCTAAAATATTATGTGGGAAGTTGGAAGTTGCTAAAAGTACAGATCTTTAGAGTACTGGAGATGAGGGTCCAATTCTTTTCTGTTGTAAGAGTGATAACTGATTTGGATCAGACAGAAATGACTTTGCTGTATATCTGCAGGACTTAGTTATTTGGCTTATTCAAATTTTGAATACAAAATAAAATTTGAGTGAAAAAAAGGAAAGGGAGATTAATAGAACTAAAAAAATTTTCAAGGAAATATAAGACAAAAATAAATATAATATTAGGGTTCATCAAAATTATATACACTGGACACCAATCTAAAATTATGTTTAAATAATTTCTTCAGTTGGCTAAAGTATTTCAATGATACTTTCTTGGGAAGGACTCCTAAGGTTTTGTAACATACTCTTTGTAGCATATGTTTTTAATTATATTGAAAATTAAAAATCATTTTATAGATGTGGGAGTGTGTATGTGTGTGTGTGTGCATTGTATGTATGCAAGTTTAACTAATTTTAATTTTCTGTTAATGCATTTTTCAAAAAGGGGCATTTTGATGTTCTTGGTTGAACTGGTCCAGCAATATAAGAATGTGATATTTTAGCAAATATGCAAGCTGACTAGCAGATGGTGTGATTTTGTGAAATATGTATATTGTACTCAGGAGGTCAGCCACAGATTTTCCTGTTGTTTGGGTACAGAAGACAATGTCATCATCTAGAAATAATACAGAACATACTTTCATCTTTTTGAATCAGTTTATTTTTTCCTGCCATGAAGATTTAGAATCTCCTCAAATAAAAAAATACAAAACTTGTCTAGAAGAACGTGAGAAAGAGAATTGATTCTAATTTTCTCTATATAAAGTCTTATTTGGGAGGAAAAAGAAGAAAATATATTAAAAGCCCTTTTACCTGAAAGAAAGATAATTTTCTGGAAAATAGGTAGACCAAGTGTATGTATTTCTCATTTGATTTCTTTGTTGTCAGCTCTTTGCATGGAATACAGAAGCTTATTGAGTTAACCTTTTTCTTGTGATATATGAGGTTGCTTGTGTTTTGACAAACATATTTTGCATGCATAGCATGAATTTTGAATAAAAGTCTAATTTTAGGTGCATTGTCTTTCATGTAAAAATTCTTTTAGGATTTAGGCATCTTTGGTCCTATGCATTGTATCTGTGGATTCACTACCTATCGTCATAGTTCCTGAAATAAGAAAATCTCAAGTTTCCACACTTAATAATTTTGCATTTATATGGAAAAAATGAATAAGAAAAATGCCCACGTGGTAACCCCTTGGAGATGAAGAGCTAGTATACTCTGAGCTACTGTGAGAGCTTTAGGGTACAGAGTGCATGAGGACATAGGGATTCTTTTCTGAGCAGAGTTTGGAGCCCTGTAGCTGACTGCTGGGGAAATTAGTTTCTAATAAAAAGAAAAACCTGCAGTTCAAGTCAGACTAACACTTGAGGTGGAAATGGTGACTCTCCCAGAAAACTCCCTTTGGCTCTAAATCTGAGTTTTCTCAGCAACCCACATAAAATCTTTAAAAGCGTAATGGCATACCTAGTTGTTCACATAAAGACTCTTAATGAGTTGAGAATTCTCTGCTTTAGTATGCTTTACATTCAGGTTAAATAGAGTTAGTCTCCATGAAAGTTAGCGCTGGTTCTGTGACAAGTGACTGAAGACTCCTAAACAGGGTAAAGTCAAAAGGGAATACAATGACTTATAGAAATAAGAATGTTGTGGGTGAGGCAGACTTCAGTTGGAGTGTAATGAAGGAACTCAACTGGCAAAACCCCAAGCATGCCATGGTTAGCTCTTATTTTTACTCAGTCTGCAACTAG